>NW_019805500.1:320276-480415 GCF_000001405.40 Homo sapiens | reverse complement strand
GAATTCTTAGGGGTTCAGGTAAAAGAGATTTGAGAGACACAGAGAGAAATAGCAATAGGTGCAGGATGGGTTGACATTGGGGTGCAGAGAAGAAGCTACAAACAAGATGGGAGAGGTGATTTGGGGACTACGGGGCTCAGCCTGCCGACTTAAAGATACAGGGGCTAAATAGAAACATCTGTGGCATACAGAACCTTTGAGAGGGGTGAGGAGGGTAAAGTTAAGAAATTAAAAAAGTATTTGGACCAAAAATATTTGAGATCTAATACATTAGTTGCTCTCAATTCTTCTTTGGTGAGATGGATATTTTTAACTCTTTTCTTTTTTGGTGAACTTTTTCCTAACCCATTCCATAGCTCCCATCATGACCATGCAAATAGTTATTACTAATCACTTTAAGAAAATCCAAAATGCCCAAAGAATGACAATGAATTTAGCATCATTTATATATCACACATTTGAAAAATGGATCTACAGTTATTTGTTCAGTCAGTAGATGATGCTTGATGCATAAATGGAGTAAGAGTTGTTAAACAGTCACATTTCTTGAGAAGGTTATCAACACTCCAGTGTCATTGTCTGGGTAAGGTCTGCCCTGACCAGCCTGTTTCCCCTTGTCCTATTTTAGTCACTCTAGCAAGTCAGCTTCCTTTTCTTTTTCTTTCTTTCTTTTTTTTTTTTTTTTTTTTTTTTTGAGACAGGGTCTTTATCTGACACCCAGGCTGGAGTGCAGTGGTGCAATCTAGCTCACTGTAGTCTTGAACTTCTGGGCACAAAGAATCAAGTAGCTAGGACTACAGGTGAGCACTACCAACCCTAATTTTTAAATTATTTTTCTTTGTAGAAAAGAGGTCTGGCTATGTTGCCCAAGCTGGTCTCAAAGTCCTGGACTCAAGCAATCCTCCCGCCTCGCCTCAGCCTCCCAAAGTGCTGGGATTATAGGCGTGAGCCACCATGCTCAGCCTCTTTTTATTTTTTTCATAGCACTTATCACTCTCTGATATTACTTGTTTATATATTTGTTTGTCTTGACCTGTCTGCCTCCTTAGAATGCAAGCTTGATGACAGGAGGGACTTTCTGTGTCTTATCCGTGGATGAATTCCCATGAATCCCTGGCATGAACACTGTCCTAAGTATTGAATCAATTCTCAACAAATATTTGGTGAATATGATTTGTTGAAGTCCTCAATATACGGCTTGGCACCTAGTAAGTGCTCAATAAATGTTCGCTCTTATTGCCGTCATCGTCATCATTGTCATCCTTGTCATTGCCACAGTCATAAATAAGCCTATGGCCCCAGGGGTTAGATTAGGCACCCATAACACATATAATCAACTTTTTTTTTTTTTTTTTTTTTAAGATGGAGTCTTGCTTTGTCGCCCAGGCTGGAGTGCAGTGGCACAATCTTGGCTCATTGTGACCACCACCTTCCAAGTATCTGGGACTACAGGCATGCACCATCATCCCCGGCTAATTTTTGTCATTTTAGTAGAGATGGGGTTTCGTCATGTTGGCCAGGCTGGTCTCAAACTCCTGGCCTCAAGCGATCCACCTGCCTCGGCCTCCCAAACTGCTGAAATTACAAGGCATGAGCCACCACGCCCAGCCCACAATCAACATTTAAAGAAAAAAAATGTCTGCCAGTGTAGTCTGAGACTTGGACTGCGTCCCCTTTTCAAACATCAGAGCCTTGCAAGGGTAGCATAGAGGCTGTGAGTCCTTAGAAGGTCAAAGTGCTGAGACAAAACAAATTCAGATCATCTCTTAAGCAATGTGGTGCTTTCTGATTTTCTTCTCTCTTTCCCATCTCCCACTCCTGCCCCAACACCCTACTCTTGCAAATTGGTGTGATTTTCTTCTGCACACATGGTAGGTGCCCTCTCCACATAGGACCTCGCTTTCCTTTGCTGTCTCCAGATTTTTTTTACAGGAAACTCTGCAGTCAGAGGAATGTTATTTACTACCTAGAGCTCCCTCTGCTGATGCATTGGGTAGATGATTAGCCTGGAAGCCTGCGGATTTCAGCAGAAGCACAGCTGGGCTCCTGGCGGGGTTTGTCACCTGCCTATGCCTGTGGTCTGATCAGAGGCTGTTTCTTTCTCTTGCACTGGGGAAAGAGGTACAGGTGATGCCTGTCTGTCTGTGACCTCGCATGCTGTGGGTGGGGCTCCAGGGACGTTCAAGGTCCTGGCTCCTCTGACCTCCACGTGGAATCCTTGCACTTGCAAATGCTTATTGGAGAGACTCTGGGATTCCTAGTGGGCTGGGAGGGTGTTCAGCGTACCACTCACTGACACTCAGAAACAGGTGACCCACCTGTTCATGATTTCTGTCTCAACGCAGAAGTGAAACGTAGGGGGAATTTTTTAATTTTTCAAGAGCAAAATTTGTAGAGTCTGGGTGAAAACAGGCTCTAATAAACCAAAAAGAAATAAATGCATGATCGAAATTTTAAAAAAGAATGTATTTGGCTAAATTTAACTCTTAGGCTGAAGTTTATTTAAATGCAGAAGGCATATCCAGCCCTAGCTCTCTGGCACCTGGGGCAGGAGCATTGAGGCAAGGGGAGAACATTGCTTTACAGACCACCCTGCCAATGCAACCAGGCTAATATTCCTTCAACACTGCTATTGGCCGGTGCTATCATTTTGTATAAACTGTATGACACTCTGCTATATACACTGCCCCATTTCCCTGCCTCCAACCCCCCAGCCTTAAAACATACGTATTATTTTTCTTCACTACTTACAGTTGAGAGTATCGAGGTTTGGTGACATTAACTAACCTGCTTAACATCACACAACTAACAAGTTGCCGAGATGGTGTTTGAACTTGGGTTCCTTGAACTTCTAAGCATGGGGTTCCAACCTGCCAGCATCCCAGGCTCATTCCTACCTGCCCCATAGATCAGTGTTCATTCCACCCCCAAAATGTATTCAGTGCCCTGCACTGTGCAAAGCACCAGAAAAAGTAGAGATGAATGAGACTTGGTCCTAACCCTTGGGGGTATGTGCAATCTTCTATCAAAGTCGAGGATGAGGTTTTAGTGCTACTTTCTCCAGGCAGCCCTGGATACCTTTGGACACTCATAATTGGCAGTGCCCTACTGTTACTAATAAAAACTAATAACAAAATAAATAAAAATTAATAAATAAAATAAAAATTAATAATAAAAAATTAGTGGGTGTGGTGACGTGCACCTGTAGTCCCAGCTACTTGAGAGGCTGAGGCCAAACAATTGCTTGAGCCTGGGAGTTTGAGGCTGCAGTGAGCCATGATTGTGCCCCTGCACTCCAGTCTGATCAACAGAGTGAGAACCTGTCTCAAATAAATGAAGAAAAATAAATAAGACACATATCATCTAACATTTACGGAGCACTTACTATGTGTCAGTCACTATAGGAAAAAGCCTTTCTTATGGATTATCTCATTGAATCCTTATAAGAAACTTATGAGAATGGCCCTTTTATCAGCCTCATTTTACAGATGAGAAAACTGAGGCCTCGAGGTAAACAACTGATACTTAGAAATCCGAGTCAAAAAGTAGCAGAGCTGAGTAAACCTGGGAAATCTGACTCTTAACCATTTTGCACACTGACTCCGCTGTGGCTGCCCCCTCCTCTGACCCCATCCCGCGCCTGTCTTGTCCCATGACCTCTTCTGACAGCTCCTTGAGAGAGAAGAACCCTTTCCCCCTGGCCTTCCACTTTCTCTCACAGCCCCGAGCTCAGTGCTGGGCACACCTAGGAGCTGAAAACTACTGATTAACTGATTTACTCCCCCCTTCACTGGAAAATGGCGATGAAACAAGATTTGGGGTGGAGGTGGGGAGGGAATCCCACAGATCAGTCTGGGGCTTCTTCAGAGCTCTGGCTCTTGGTCAAGTGAGATTAGGAACGATATTTTAAGAGCAGAGTTCCTTAGGAAATCTTCTACACGCCTATAGTTTGCTTTCCCAGCATGACGTCCGGCACATAATAGGGTCCAATACATCTTTGTTGAATGACTGAATGAGCTTTAAAAATTCTAAGGACTCTCACTGCTGTTGCTAGGGCTGCCGCTGGAGTCTCAGGCGGTGCTTTCGGCTCTGTCTTATACATCAAGCTCTGCCTGTCTCGCTTTTACACCACAGTGGAAGCCAAAGCCGGGGCCCCTTCGAATGCAAAGTGGCTGCTTTTGCTTGGTTTGGCTTAGAAGACATGATGCCCGGCCCCTGCTCCCAGGGGTTCTGGCACTGCCCAAACCAACTGCGCCCCCTGGTACTGAGATACATGTGCACTGCAGATTCGTCAAAATTCACGCCCTTCTCCCACTCCAAGCCACCCGCTGTTCTGATCTCATCTTTGTCTCACCTCCTTACCCAAAGATTCTTGAGGTGCAGGAAGACAGCTCCAGTGACCCCAGAAGCTTGCCTTCCTATTCTTCGATCTCGGGTGATTTTTCATCCTAAAACCATCACATAAGCTGTTTATGGCGTCCATAACCCGCCTGGAGCCTTTAAACCTCTTTCTTGCATGGCTTTTTATAAGTCTGAGATAAACAAACAACTCTCTCTCCAGGGACTTGGAGCCCAGATCCTTAACCTCACTCCTTAAGCCCCTGGCCCCTGAGGGAGTGGAGCCAGAGGGTGGGCCCCAAAGGACTGTGGTTAAATGTGAGATGTGGAGGAAGCAGATAACATCATTGCTGCTAACGGGAAAAATGCGGCCAGAGACCTTGAAGCAAAGATGAGCCAGAGGGCAGGGTTGCCAAGAGGCTCCAGAGCAGCCTCTGCTGGGTTGAGAAGCTCTGCTGAGACACTAAGAGAGCGTTCTGGCAACATGTGAAATCTTGGGGGCTGTCTCCTCCAACCCCTCATTTGGCACTAAAGAAATCTAAGTCCTGGGAGGGGAGGTGGCTTGGCCAAGGTCATATAACCTCGGGAGGCTGCGTGGAATAAATGATGGAATCTGTTCCCTGCACCTACTTCTTTCCCATCAGACCCTGATCTCTATAGGGCATCCAAGTTGTTACAGGGAGGCTGGCTTCACCCCAATGGCGGAGGTGAAATATGGGATCTTGGCCAAGTTGATCGGCATTTTCTAACTTCCTGGCCACACTGATTGGTCTCGGAGTGACCCAGAACTTAAGACTGGTCTAATCAGAAAAAAAATCTCCGAACCTTTGAGGAAAATCCTGGGAAATACTGACCCTCCTTTCCCTGGGCTAGAAATGAACACAGGATACAAAGTAGTCGCAGCAGCTGAGGCCAGGCATCGTGTGACATCAAGAGGGAATAAGGTAGACTCCATGGAAAGCAGAGAGGAGAGATGGAAAGAAAAGGAATCCCAGGTGATAATTGTGAGTTGCTAGATCAAACCTCACCTGAAGCCTTTCCTCTGCAATGTTCAGCTACATGATCCAGTAAAGTATATTTTTAAGACAGACCGGGCTGGGCACAGTGGCTGATGCCTGTAATCCCAGCACTTTGGGAGGCTGAGGCAGGCAGATCACCTGAGGTCAGGAGTTTGAGATCAGCCTGGCCAACATGGTGAAACCTCGTCTGTACTAAAAAAAAAATTAGCTGGGCGTGGTGGCACATGCCTGTAATCCCAGCTACTCGGGAGGCTGAGGCATGAGAATTACTTGAACCCAAGAGGCAGAGGTTGGAGTGAGCTGAGATCACACCACTGCACTCCAGGCTGGGTGATGGAGTGAGACTGTGTCAAAAAAAAAAAAAAAAAAAAGACTTAAAAGATAGACTTAAGTCTTATTACTGTTAGTAATAGATGTTATTGCTTGTAAACAAAATATCCCCAACTGATAAACAGATGACTGGTGGCCCTAGAAACTTGCCTCTGGTCTTTTACTCCTGGTTAGGGGTGCTGGGCCCAAAGGGAAGGCCTCTATGCCAGGCTACATGCCTGGCTAAGCTTTAGATACAACTAAGGTTGATTGGTTTGGAGTTTACAACCCCCACTAGCATACATTTTATACTTTTCTTGTTCAGGCAAGTGGACTGGCTAATTACATGGGTTCAGAAAGCATTTTTTCTTGGCGCTTACTCCCGTCCTGCCCTCATGAACCCTTAGCATTTTTGCACATCTCTACAGCAATGCTTATCTCACCATATATATATATATAATATTATATATATTTACATATAAATATATATATTATATATATGTTATATATTATATATTATATATATTATATGTACATATATATAAATATATTATATATAATATATTTATTATATACATTATATATAATATATATATATACAATATATATATATTTATATATACGTTTTTTAGATGGAGTCTTGCTCTGTAACCCAGGCTGGAGTGCAGTGGTGTGATCTCGGCTCACTGCAGCCTCTGCCTCCTGGGTTCAAGAGATTCTCCTGCCTCAGCCTCCTGAGTAGCTGGGATCAGGGGTGTGTGCCACCATGCCCGGCTAATTTTTGTATTTTTAGTAGAGACGGGGTTTCACCATGTTGGCAAGGCTGATCTCGAACTTCTGACCTCAGGTGATCCTCCTGTCTTGGCCTCCCAAAGTGCTGCGATTACAGGCATGAGCCACCGCGCCCAGGCCTATCTCACTATATTTTAATGATTAACATCCACATCAGGCTTCTCTAGACCTCAGGCTTGCTGAAGATGAGATTAAACCTCATTCACCTTTGGATGCGTGCACCTGGCCCAGTGTCTGACACAAGCTTTGTATTCACGGATGCTTGTGGAGTGGATGAAACAATCTCTTCCCACTCCCTGCCTCATTGTCTGATGAGCCTTCATTACACTCCACTTTCTTCTCTTTGTAAATTAGGATGAGGTGAAAAAGCACAGCAGACAAGATGCGAAGCATTCACGCCAAGTCCTCAATTCACAAACTGATTTGATCTGCTGTTGTATTCCCAGAGTGCTAGGTCCCGTATGGGACACCAACGCCATCCCATATGCTCACTGTTCTGCGCTGCTGTGTATAAAGCCCTGGGCAAGAGGACAAGGGAGGGAAAAACCAGAAAGACTGAGTCAGAGAAGGCTCGGGATGAAATTTGAGTCCATTGGGATCATTCTGCCTAAACGACAGAGGAGAAAGCTTGGGCTCAGGGAGGAGTCCTCCTCCTCCTGGCTCAAGGTCACCGGGACAGACCAGTCAGGATGGGAAAGAACTCCACTTTCAAGAGCAAGACCTGTTTCCCCAGGACCTGGGCCCTGTGCAGACAGGAAGGGGGACTTCAGGATGGATGGGGAAAAGGACACGCTGGGAGGCTGCGGGGCCAGCCTTTGGGGCTTGCATCCTGCGAAGGTTGAGTAACTCCACGGGTCTCCCTTTTGCCGCTATACCACTTGCCAACTGGGTTTGGAGTCTCTTGGCTTGTGAGTCCTCAGGGACCAGAGAAGTGACTCAGTGAACACTTAGTACATCGTTGGCACCGGGGATTGTGTGTGATTCAGGAGTCACTCACAGAGCTTGTGCTGATTAACTCCAGAAACTCACCCAAAGCCTCCTCCCCACCCCTTCAAGCCCAGGATGAAGGGATCAGACTGTGGCTCTGACACTCCTGAAATGTTTCTCACGTGTCCACCTGCCAACCGGTCTGGTACCGACAGAAGATCCCTGGACCGCGAACTCCGGGGCTAGGAGCTTCCTCCACGCACTGCCTCCTTCCAGCGGCCCACAGGGAAAACAGGACCTCGGGACCCCCTCTCTTCCTGACCTCCCCTGGATTCTGAGCGGGCCCACCCTCAACCAAAGGTCCCCTGTTTCGCGGCCCCTGCCTCTCTTTTTCCGCCTTGGGAATTGTCCCCCTCGCCCCCCATCCTACTCCCACTACGTCCTGAGGGGTGTCTGTCTTCTCTGATCGCCCCCACCCCCTTCCTTTCCCTCCTCCTTTTCCTCCCTCGGCTCCTCCCCCAGGCCCCGCCCTCTCCGCCTCGGCCCGCGTCCCCCCGGCGCCTTCCCCATCACCCTCCCCTCCAGCGGGGACAGGGGTGTGGGGAGGGGGCGCCGCGCGGGCCAGGCGCCCGCCCCTCCCTGCGCGCCCCGTCCCCGAGCGCGCGCCCGGCGCCCCCCTCCGCGGCCTCCCCGCTCCCGCCTCCCGCCTTCTCCTCCTCCTGGTGACGTCCGGGTCCCTGCCCGTCTGAAAACTCCGCGCCGCGGCGGTGGAGGCGGCGGCGGCGGCGGCGGCGGCGGCAGCGGCGGCGGCGGCGGCGGAGGAGGAGCAGCGGCGAGCCGAGGCGGCGGCGGCGGCGGCGGCCCGAGCGGGAGCCCGAGCGGCAGCCGGCGGCCGCGGGAGCTGCGGGGAGCGCGGGGGCGGCCCGGAGCGTGCCGGGGTCCCCGCGCCTCGCTCGCCGGCCGCGCTCCGAAGATGGTGGCGGCGCCGTGCGCCCGGAGGCTGGCCCGGCGCTCGCACTCGGCGCTGCTCGCGGCGCTCACGGTGCTGCTGCTGCAGACGCTGGTCGTGTGGAATTTCAGCAGCCTCGACTCCGGGGCCGGGGAGCGCCGCGGGGGCGCAGCGGTCGGCGGCGGGGAGCAGCCGCCCCCGGCCCCGGCCCCGCGCCGGGAGCGCCGGGACCTGCCCGCCGAGCCGGCTGCAGCCCGAGGAGGAGGAGGAGGCGGCGGCGGAGGAGGAGGAGGACGGGGGCCCCAGGCGCGGGCGCGGGGAGGCGGCCCCGGAGAACCGCGGGGACAGCAGCCGGCCAGCCGGGGGGCACTGCCCGCCCGGGCTCTGGTAAGATGCCCTTTCGGCTCGCGCCCCGCGGCGAGGGAGGGAGGAAGGCAGCCCGACCCCACGCCCCCCTAGCCCTTGAACTCGGTCATCAGACTGGGACTCTGCAAGCCTACCGACTCCACATCGCCTCTTGCCCCGGGAAGCCGGGTGGGGTCCCTGCCAAGGCTCAGGGGTCGTGGGCTGCCCCTTTCAGAGTCTGAGCACGGACCCCTTGGGGTCTGGGGGAAGTTTTCTCCAGCGGGGGCGCTTTGGGGGTTACCGGAGCCTGGCTGGGTTCCTGTTCCCCATCACTCTTGCTGGGGACCCCAGGTGACTTGCTCCGTGCGTGTAGGTCTTGGTGACTCGCTCCCTGCCTGAGTGAGTGGATCTCCCCGGATCCTCAGCCGCTGTTCCTGGGCGGTTGTCGCAGCAGCATCTCTCTGGTTTTTGCCGAGCTGGGTGCAGACAGTTGAGCCCTCTGTTCGTCCTGGCCTGCGATGAGGGCTGAGCTGGGCGTCCCAAGTCCCCGACCATGCCCCTGAATCAATACTCAGTCCGGGGTGTCTGGTCTTACTTTGGGTCTTCTGTTTCTCTTCTCTGGATGTTTGAGCCTTCCGTCTTCACCTTCTCTGTCTCTAACCTTGCCGTCTCCCATGCCCTCTGTGACTTTATCTCCTCCCCATCTCCAGTTTCAGGGCATGGCTCCTTCTCCTAGCTGGTTGTCTCTGTCTTTCTGTCTTGTTGCGGCCGGTTCAGGTCACCAGCTGTGTGTCCGACCACACCGTCAGGGCTTCCACTCCTATGGGATTACTTTGCCCTTCGTGGGTGTGAACAGTCAGGGCTCTGAAACTGTTTTTTCCGCAGATCTGGGGCCATCTGGGTGGCTGGGTGGGGAACTGACTTGTCTTCCTACCCTGTCCCTAACTTCTCCAGGGATACCTTTCCCACCTTCTCTGGGCTGCCTTGCCCAGCCTACTGAGCTAGGAGCAGGAGCACATGGGGCAGGAGGCCGGAGTCCCCATTTCAGAGCCAAGGTCTCAGTTCTCCAGGGGCGTGAGTTCTGCCTTAGGGCATAGCCAATGTGTTGTGTGTCTGTCTGTTTCTTCATCACACTACTTGTCTGCAAGGATTTGCCTAGCCGTTAAAGGATATTAGACACCAGGGGGATGGTTTCAGGATCCTGAAGACTGAATGCATATTTCTATCATTTGTCACTTTGGAAGTCCTCACTGAAGACTGCCTTAGTACACAGCGTGATGCTTTCTGAGCTGCTAAACTTCTTCGGAGTCTGTGCGACCCTTTCTGCCGGAGTGCAGCTCTTCATGCCTGAGAACTGAGCCAGTCCCAAGACGTGATGTGATGGCATTTCACGTTGCTGTGTGGGTAGCAGGGAGAAGTCTTTCCCTCATTTGCGGGGAGAATAGTGGCGTGAGCTGCCTGACGGAGAACCAGAACATTCCTAGTGTCCTGCGATCTCTTCTTTACAGAGAGGGGTACTCTGAAACGCTGCCTTTGAACTCTTGGAGTTGATAGTGATGGGTTCCCGCAGAAATGCAATTAGAAGTTCTTTGTGCATCCAGAGCCCAGGAGGTGGGGTGGGAGGGTTGTGGGTCGTGTCCTGCTGGTCCAGTGTAAGAACGTGTAGGGGAGACATGGTGGGGGAAGCCTGGGGCTTACTGTATCATTTGCATCTGGGGGTCAGAGTGGGTTCAGGAGGTACCTTTAGGATGCATGTAGCACCTGTTGAAACAAATGAAGAGAAGGAAGGAGGCAGGGCTAGCTGATTTCTTCATAGGTCCCCGGCATTGTGAGCATCCACCCCCAGCCCCTCTCTGTGTGCTCGGCTCAGTGTTTTACTCTCTCACACCCAGCTCAGCCTCTGAGAGATCTGCGGTTGGGGAGGTAGGTGGGAACACACTATTTTCCTTTTTACTTCCTTTTGGAATTGCAGTTCCAGCAGCGGAGGTGCTTTGCTTTTCTGAAACTCTGCTTCCAACTGCAAGTTCAGTTACTCTCCCCAAATCTGCATGTCCTAATGTCTCAATTTCTTTACCTTCCAAGATGGACATTTATGTATTTTTTTTTTCTTTTGGTTCTCTTCTCTTCTTGGTGGCTGTCTACCATGCTGTTGACTGTTGTCTCTTGGGGCTTTGTATTTTATTTCATTTGCTTGTCTCCTTTCTTTCCTCTCCCCCCACACCTACTCCATGACCTGCTAAATCCTGAAATCACAGTACAGACAGGCTGGCTGGAGCCCGGGGTCTGTCCTACTCTGACTGTGCCCACCCAGTTCCTGCCCTTCCATGGAGCTCCAGGAGACCAGAAGGGGGCAGGCTGTTCCCAAAGTCTGGTATAGCTGGAGCTTGGGTTGCAGGCAAGGAGAGGACCAGACCTTTTCGCAAGCAATAGAGGCCGTTGAAATGTGCAGTTTGTTTCCAGACCCTGCGGAGGCTGCCAGGATGATGCTTTGGAGGGAGATTCAGGAGTGGGACATTTAAAGAAACAAATCCCCGTGATTTTCCAGATGGCTCTTGTAGAGAGGTGGTTAGACACATGCTTAGAAGAAGATGCTTTAGCTCAGTGCTCTGTTGCAGGTGGGGATGGGGTGGGTGGACAGCCTTGGCTCTTGCATGTAGAGGGAACCTGTGTCCTGGGTTGCTGGTGGGTGTGTTGCAGAGAGTGTCAGGCAGGCATTGTGTATAGGGCATTTCCTAAGCCAGATCTTCCTCCTTCCTGATGCCCACAGCCTCAGAGCATTTGTCCTTTTTATGTTTGGGGAGCTGCGCTTCGGTGGAAGGCCCTGATTGTATTTTTGGTGCACTTAAGAAGCCAAGAGGAAACACCCCGTTTCTCAAGTAGACAGAGTCAGAGGGCATGTCCATAAAAGATTTGCAAGCTCTCCTTTTCCTCTCAGCCTCTTTTAAAGCTCTTAAATATTAGAATTATTGGGTGGATTGCAGCTGTTTTGTGGCTGACACTGATTCCTTCACTGGGTCTCCAGTAAGCTGTGGATTTTACTGTCATCTCAGAATTTAAGAAACAGATGGACTCCCTTATAAAGGGAGGAAAAATATTGGGAGAACTGTCACAAGGATCAGCCTACAGGTTCTGAATAGATTTTGGAGAAAATGAAAGAGAGCTGCGTGTGTTAATGTAATGAATGTTTATTTTCTTTCCCTTAGTGACTCTTCTTGAAGTCCCCACATTTATTGCTCGTGTTCTTAGATAAACTGTTACTCAGTAAGTTTCATTTAAGAAATCTAATTTTTTATTACCCTTCCCACCCCCCGCCTGCCGCCCTACATAAGCACACAAAGTAGAATGGGGTTTCTGTATTATCCGACGCCTTTGAAATGTTGATTTTTCGGCAGAAATTCCTCATGCTTCACATTACTCAGATAACTCAGGACTCTTTTAGACATCAGCAGTGACTTTGAAAGATCGGTTCACTGGCTTTAGATCACCTCTGCTTCTAACAGCCTTGGAGGTATAGCTTTTCTTCCTATCCAGATGTTCTGAGACCACAGAAAACAGGGTATGTTATTGATGGTTCGTTTTTTTTTTCACACTTTCAATGGAGTTTTGTTTTGTTTGAGCGACGCATTACACTTTGTATACAGAAATATGCATCATTGAATAATATTTATCTTACTGCAAATGTTGCCATCTGTTTATCATGGAAAGTGTTAAAATAGATAAATAAAAGTAGAAATAATATACGTAGGTATAGATATGTTTGTAATATGAATTCTAATATATCTATGTATTCACTTTCCTTCCGGTCTTTTCATACTTTAGACGTTCTCTTCAGTTTATCAATTCATTTTTTAAAAATCTTCCAGAAGGGTGGGTGGTCAAAGGCTTGCTATTTTTCACCTAGGAAGCCAGCCATGGCGTAAGTTCTTATTTACTGGTGACTGTTCAAGTTTGATTCATGGTTTTAATAGAAGAGGAAATTTGGTGGCTTGAGTTAAAGCAGAGATTTGACATCATCGCGTCATTGTGTATGTGTGTGTGTATCCTCAGAAAGCAAAGATATCCTTAGGCATATCTCTGACATAAGAGTCTGCCCCCCACACCCCGCTCCAGAGCTGTTTATGATCCATAAGGTCATAAATCCATCTATATGAGTGTTTCAGTGCAGAAGAACTTAACACACACACCTGTTGGACTGCACAGGTGAGGTTGAGAGTCTCTATCTTTTGACCAGTGCTACCTTAAGAGCTGCCACTTATGATCTCTCTCTTTCCTTTTCCTTTGCATTTCCCCATTTCTGCGGACCCAGATCCCCATCTACCAGAAACAAAGAGAAAATGCCTTGGGGAAAATAAAAAATAACTAAAAAACAAACTCGATCTTAACAAAACCTGCATTCTAAGGAAGGGGTGTGGGAACAGGAGAAAACGTCCCAACAAGTATGTGCGAGGCCCCGGCACCAATGAAAGAGGCCTCTGTTGAGTACCCTCAGGCCTGACATACCTGGGTTCACCTCCTGGCTCGGCCCTTTCTCATGCCCCTAATCTTGGGCAAGTCACTGTAATTTCGGTCCTCTGTGAATCTGAGCTACCTCATAGGGCTGTATGAGGATGAAATGTAGCAATATATGTGAACTCATGTGGGCCTGTTCCTTAATCAGTGTTCAAAAATGAGCTGTTCTTAAAAGGAAATTCTTGGTATGTTTGAAAATAAGGAATTTCTTGCAGTTATTCATTTTCCCGTACAGTGTAGGGTGCGAGTAAATCCAAGGCAGTAGAATGAATATAGCTGTTTCTGTGTGAGCAGGACGGAATGTGGTAGAGGAAGGAGTACTGACATTTATTGAGTGCCTGCTGTATGTCAGGTGTCATTTAGGTATTTTGCATACGTTAGGTTATTAAATGCTCACCCCCCCCCCCCCCAAAAAAAAACACAAAAAATTTCCAGGAAGGAAGACGGTATTACACAACTGATAAAAAGTTAAAACTAAGGACACCCAACTAGAAATCGCTGGTCTTATGATGGCTTGTTATGTGGCAGGAATAATGGAGGGATTTGTAAATGTTACCTTACTGTCTTACTGATTTCTCCCAACTTTGTGGGATAAGACTTTTGCTGTCCCCAGGAGGAAACTGAAGCTCAAAGAAGTGAAGCTGCTTGCTCATGAAGTTCACAGAGCTGGGGAGTAGCAGAACTGAGATCCAAACCCAGGCCTGCCCCTTTCCAAAGATGCCACCTTTCCGAGTTGCGTTCCTTTTGCATGGTTTGTTGAAAAACCCTAAATGCAACCATGCATTCCCAAAAATCTTTTTTTTTTTTTTTTTTTTTTTTTTTTGAGACAGCATCTTGCTCTGTCACCCAGGCTGGAGGGCAGTGGCGTGATCTCGGCTCACTGCAACCTCCGCCTCCTAGGTTCAAGCAATTCTTGTGCCTCAGCCTCCTGAGTAGCTGGGATTACAGGCGTGCACCACCACGCCTGGCTAATTTTTGTATTTTAGTAGAGACAGGGTTTCACCATGTTGGCCAGGCTGCTCTCGAACTCCTGGCCTCGTGATCCGCCCGCCTCGGCCTCCCAAAATGCTGGGACTACAGGCCTGAGCCACTTTGCCCAGCCCCAAAAATCTTTATTCTACTTTTCTCACTTCTTGTTGCAGATTCCTAAAAAGTTACCAACCCTAGAAAAGAAGCAGACATGCAATTTATATTGAATCAGACCCCTAACTCATGATGCAAATACAAGGGTAGTAATAATGATAATAATAATAATAATGACTGCATGGCAGTTATGATGTGTTAGGTGGTTTTAAAAATGGATATATAATAGTTTGACATATTTTGGGGTACATGTGATATTTTGATAGGTTCATATAATGTGTAATGATTAACTTAAAGTAATTGGGATATTCATTACCGCCAACATTTATCTTTACTTTTTTGTCAGAGACACTGAAATTCTTCTCTTCTAGCTCCTTTTTTTTTTTTTTTTTTTGAGACAGTTTTGCTCTGTTGCCCGGCCTGGAGTGCAGTGGCACAATCTTGACTCACTGCTACCTCCGCCTCTCAGGTTCAAGCAATTCTCCTGCCTCAGCCTCCTGATTAGCTGGGATTACAGGCACCCGCCACCACACCTGGCTAATTCTGTTTGTATTTTTAGTAGAGATGAGGTTTTGCCGTGTTGGCCAGGCTGGTCTTAAACTCCTGGCCTCAGGTGATCTGCCTGCCTTGGCCTCCCAAAGTGCTGGGATTATAGATGTGAGCCACTGTGCCCGGGTCTTCTAGCTATTTTGAAATATACAATAGATTATTGTTAATGATAATCACCCTACTGGACTACCAAACACTAGAGCTTATTCCTTCTATCTAACTGGATTTTTATCCTTCCAATCAACATCTTCCTCCCTACTCCCCTAATCACCTATCTACTCTCTATCTTCTTGTCATCTACTTTTTTTAGCTCCTACATAGGAGTGAGAACATGTGATATTTGTCTCTAAGTGCCTGGCTTATTTCAGTTAGTATGATGGCCTCCGGTTTATTCATGTTGCTGCAAATGACAGGATTTCACTTTTTAACAGCTGGCTAATATTCCACTGTGTGTGTTTACCACATTTTCTTTATCCATTCATCCACCGATGGGCACTTAACTTGATTTCATATCTTGGCTATTGTGAAGAATGTTGCAGTAAGCATGGGAGTGCAGATAGCTCTTGGATTTATTGATTTCCTTTCCTTTGGATAATTAATCCTTTCCTGTGTAGACACAGTAGTGGGATTGCCAGATCATATGGTAGTTCTGTTTTTAGCTTGTGAAGAACCTTCATACTCTTCTCCATAGTGGCTGTACTAATTTACATTCCCACCAACAGTGTATGAGTGTTCCATTTTCTCACATCCTCACCAGCGTCTGTTATTTTTTGTCTTCTTGATAAAAGCCCTTTCAGGTGGGGTGAGATGATATCTCACTGTGCTTTTGACTCACAGTTCCCTGGTGATTAGTGATGCTGTGCATTTTTTTATATATCCATTGGCCATTCGTATGTCTTCTTTTGAGAAATATCTGTTCAGCTCTTTTGCCTGTTTAAAAAATTGGACTACTTGTTTTTTTGCTGTTGAGTTGTTTGAGTTCTTTATATATTTTGGTTATTAATCCCTTGTCAGATGGGTAGTTTGCAAATATTTTCTTCCATTTTGTAGATTATTTAATTTGTTGATTGTTTGCCGTGCAGAAGCTTTGTAGCTTGATGTGATCCCGTTTGTCTATTTTTGCTTTTGTTGCCTGTGCTTTTGTGGTCTTACCCAAAAAAAATTCTTGCTCAGCGTCCTGAAGTGTCTCCCCAATGTTTTTTTCTCTAGTCGTCTCATAGTCTCGGGTCTTAGATTTAAGTCTTTAATCTATTTTGATTTGGTTTTTGTGTATGGTGAGTGATGGGGCCTAGTTTCATTCTTAAGTTTATCCATAGGTAATGGCTATCCCGTTTTTCCAGCACTACTTATCGAAGACTTTCCTTTCCCCAGCCTTTGTCAAAAATGAGTTGATATTAAAGTGTGGGTTTATTTCTGCGTTCTCTATTCTGTTTGCCAGGCACTGTTCTAAACCCTCTTTGTGCATGAACTCATTTAATCCTTCAAGCTGTGTACTATTATATTTTCAACAGTCAAGAATGGAAGTTGAAATTGGCTAGAGAGAGGAGTCTTGAATTCAGCTCTCTCTAACCAAGGGAGAAGCGGAGGAGGGGGCAAGAGGATATTGTTCAGGGTTCTTTGGCCGGGGACAATGGCCTTTCTTTCAACCACAACAGACTTCCTGCTGCTCCATTCCTTCAGACCGCTCTGTGGTTGGCCCACTGAGGAGCCCGCCACTTGTACCTGAGAGCCTGGGTCTGCAGCACACTGGAGAGTTACCTCAATAAACATGCAGTGCGGATCATCTTGCGGACACTTCCTTCCGCCTGCAACAGAAACTACCCGTTTGCCCGCAGATGCTCATCAGATGGTGCCCATGTGCTCTCTGGGTTCGGTTGCCCCCTTCCCGATTGGAAGCCAGAGGCATCACAAAGAAGATGGGTGTGGGGTGGGGTGTCACCTTAGCCCTGAACCTGGACACTGGCATTATTAGTGTCAGGAACTGCAAACCCAGACACCCTGCCAGATGAGGAAGGGGTGGGACCCATTCTCAAGCTTTGTGTGTGTGGACGAGGGTGTCTCATCTTTCAGGGCCACCTAGGGGCAATGAATGGATTTGTCCTGTCCCAGGCCTAGTTTGTCCCAGCCAGGTGACTACTGCTTATCTGGACATCTAATCCAGGCTAATGTGTCAGTGGATGCTAATGAGGTAATGTGGTAAGAGGCATTTGTTTCTCCTCCCAGGGCACGCTTTGCCATAATTTTTGGCCACAAGATGTGTGGTTTCAGTTTAAGATGAGTTTGTGGGGCAGAGAGGTTGATGCAAATGTTCCCTACCCAGGAGGCACAAACATTGCAACTATGGTGATGATGAGGTGCATTTATCGAATGCACCAAACACTGTGGAAGGACTAAAAAGACATGCTTTTATTGAATTCTTATAACATCTGGCAAGTTAAGAGCTATTATTTTCATTTCTGTTTTACTGATTGAAATAATGAAAACTAAGGCAATAAGTTGGATGAAAATTAAGCAGATGTGAAGTGTCCAAACTAGAAATTGAAGTTGGGTGGTGTCTCCAAAGGCTGTGTTCTCAGTCTACCCAGTTCAGAGTCAGTAAGTCCGTTGACTCTAGCCCCTCATTCTCCCCCTGCCTCCATCTATTTATGCATGCATTTGTCCACCCATCCATCCATCCATCCATCCATCAGTCCATTCATCTATTTGTCTAAGCATCCATCCATCCATCTATCCGTCCATTCATCCATCCTCTGTCCATTCATCCATCCATCTGTCCATCCATTTACCCATCGATCCATTCATCCACCTATCTACCCATCCTCCACTCCTGCAGTTAGAAGGTACCAGTCCCTGTGTCCAGCACTGGAACCACCTTGGTGAACAGGACCAATGTGCCTCCTGCCCTCCAGGAGGACCAGTCTAGCAGGCAAGAGTTAGAGCCCGTGCTGATAAGTGGCCGATCTCTAGGGAGATCACTCTCACATCCTAGCCTGGTTCATTGCCTATACCCTTTCCCATGGTGACCTCTTGAACACACAAGGGAGGTGTCCTCTGGGAAGGTCAGGGCAAGGAGTAAGTAGTATGATTCAGAGCCCTGGGAGCCCTGAGGTCTCTGCCATCCCAGAACTGTCCATGAGGCCTGGGCTGCTCTGCTCATGGGGCCCAAGCTCTTCTTCTTGTAGCTCATGAAACAACCCTGGAAATGATCCAGGGGAGCAGATGGGCAGATGCTGTGGGGCCTGGGAGGCAGGTCGTGTGATGTTGAGGAAGAAGACAGTGGTCTGACATCATCGGTGGTATGGCACTTTGCCTCTCTGGAGCTCAGTCTCCTTGTCTGAAGCACAGGGGCCATGATGGCACCTACCTGGCAGGGCTTGATGGTGAGGCACAGCTCTGGGTCATGGTCAGTGCTCTGCTCTGCCACCTGATGCAGCCACATCGTAGGAGATGTTTGCTAGAGCCAGGAGGACTTTCAAATCCATGGCCCGTGGGTGGGTTTGATTTTGTCCACACGGTGTGTTAGAATAAATAGGCCCTGGAATTTAAAGATTAGGATATGCCGTGAGACAGCGTAGATTTTTGGAATTCTTTTAAAAGTCATAAGATCCGGCAATACAGGGTCCACGGTGCTTGCTTGGTGTTAAACAGCCAAGCTGAGGAATGGTGATACTGCAGACCCACTGGGTCCCTAAGAGTCCCCCTAAGATCTCTCCTGTCACCTGTGGCACCTGGCTGGCCCCTCTTGGCTGTTGAGTTTGCAGCCCATTTGGAAGACCTCCGTGTTCACTATGAAGACATAAAAATGAGCATCTGTGGTTACCCTATTCCCATGTGGCTTATTCACTGCACTTATTTGCCTCTCACTGCCTGTGCCTTGCCCTGGCATGATGGAGTCTCCCTCCCCGCCTAGCTGGTGGTGGAGACCCAGAATATGCAAATTCTTATAAGCATGAGGCCATCCTGAAGGCAAATGTCCCCGACAGAAATAGAATCATGCATTCCGCAATTTGATAAACCTGTTTCCCCTCTGCAGGGAGTGTGAGTGACAGCCTCCTTTGAGTCATCTGCCCCTCACTCTGTGTTTCCCGTGACCTTGTCCCCCAATAACACGCATTGGGAAGTTGGGAGTCTTTAGAGACAAGGGGGAGGTGGAAAAGTAGAACATTCCTGAGCACCTTGGCTTGGTCCCAGCGCTGTCAGGGACGGACCGTGACTTTCATCTCTGTGTCTTTTTGGCACTTCATCAGATGATGCTAATAAGCCTGCCTCCCTCCCTGGGTTGTGAGGATTAAATTTGATAAACAGATGAGAAAGTGCTTTGAAGCTCAGAAAGCCCCATGTGAATGGAAGACGGGGCTCATGTCTTCAAGCAGCACAATGTGGGAGTGTTCAGACGGGGTTGTCTGCGTTCCTTCCTCACAGCGTCTTGTAACCCGTGGGGGACAGGGAGAGAATGAATGAGTGAAATCCACTGGAAATTTCCCACCTACTCATCCATTCATTCATCAGATACTGGTTGGGGTCTGCTGTGTGCCAGGCCTTATGCACAGCAGGGGGAAAGACAGATGTGACCCTGCCCTCATGCTCTTTATGGTTTGGGGGCAGGATGACCTCCCAATAAAAACAAACAAGAACATTGCAAAAAATCAGATTGTTACAAATGCAGCGAAGGAAACCATTAGGGAGCTGAACGAAAAGAAAGAGCTGTGGATAAGCATTTGTTTTGGATGGGTGGATTTATTTTACTTATTCAGGGGTAAGGATTTATTTTGGATCATGCCTTTTGCCATAGTAGTCCTAAACGAGCCCCAGGAATCCAAAATATGGTATAGACACCAATCGTGATGCACCAGTGGTTGGAGGTGCTACAAGGGCAGATATTCTGTAAAAACTCTTTATAAAAAGTTACTATTCGTATCTGTACAACATTTATTCACTTCTTAAATTTATTTGTTAATTTATTGAGACAGGGACTCCTTACGTCACCCCGGCTAGAATGCAGTGGTTTGATCTCAGCTCACTGCAACCTTGACCTCGCAGGCTCAAGCAGTCCTCCCACCTCAGCCCCCTGAGTAGGTGGGACTACAGGTGCGTGCCACCATGCCCGGCTAATTTTTGTATTTTTTGAAGAGGTGGGGTTTTGCTATGTTGCCCAGGCTGGTCTGGAACTCCTGGGATCAAGTGATCCTCCCACCTCAGCCTCCCAAACTGCTGGGATTACAGGCGTGAGCCACCACGTCTGGCTCACTTCTTAAATATTGCCTGCGTTCTTTTAGTTGCTTTTTTCCCAACAAAACCATATGATACAAACATTACTCTAAATATACAACTTGATGAATTCTCACAAACTGAACACATCCGAGTATCCTAGACCAGGAATCATAGCACTGACAACATCCCAGATGCACTCTCTTCTTCTTGGGTGAATATTTAAAGAAATTATTAATCGCTGTATATTTCTTTAAATGTATATTATGGAAAATACAGAAATATAACCAGCCAATCAAAACGGCAGCTTCAACACTCTTCTCGTTTAACATGCAGGTAAAGTGGCATTTAAGTAAGAAGAAGTGGGTTAACAAAATGAAAACACATAAGCAAACTCTAACTGGATTTCAAATCCTGATTGCAGCTTGGTTGGTTAATGACGATCAAGGAAGTGCTGAGATGGCCAAGGTTTGGTCAATGTCAACTTAACCAGTTTGAAGAGTCTTTGCTCCTCTGGTAAACAGCTGTGCTGTTTTGTTCTGAAGTTCAAGTGGAAAGGATTAAAGTTAGATGTTAGGAGGAACTGTGCTCTGGGTCCCTTGGAAAGGAATTCCCCATTGGAGGCCCTCTCTGATGTCTGCATTGCTCCCACAGTTATGGAAAGTAATGGCCCCAGAGCTCCCCATGCCTGTCTTCTGTGACTGAGTTCTGGACATTTCATGTGCGTCTTTTGGATTCACTGTGCATTTGCTTCACGTTGAGTATTTGTACTCTATTCCCCCAAGTGTTGGACATGAAATTAGCATGATGAATGGGTCCCCAAATGGGCCAGTAATGACTACATTAACTTAACCCTGAACCAAGACTCTCCTATTCAGAACCAGGGTAACAGAACCGCAGTACAACGTTAGCAGCAATTCAAAAGGGCATCGGAGACAACTAATCATTTCATAATGAGCGAGGGGAGAAGCAATAAAAGCCGGGAGCCCAAGGACGGCATGATAATTTTGCAGAGTCTCAGCTCTCAACCAGACTCACGTTCATAAAATAAACAAATGTTTTTGGTAATGGAAAGCTAATGTATACATTATTTAAGGATAGTATTAAAACCAGACTAGATGGATCAAGTAATACAACAGTTACCTCATTAAGCATCCTTTCTTTGGGGATGTGAAAAAGTTATTCTTTTTTTTCTTCTTCTTTTTTCCTTTTGAAATGGGGCTTTATTAATTAGAGATGTAATGGGAAATCTTATTTTTTTCCCCAGACTAGTGGCTGTTTTCTGTTTATTTTTTAATGGAGGACTATGCTTTGCAGATGTTCTCTTTGAAATAAAAGCCTATTCATTGTCTCTCTTTTGCACTTTCTTTTATCCTAGCTCAAAAGGGGCAGCTGTTATGAAAGACACTGAGAACCCCGTTTGCTTGTCATCAAGTATTGCAGATGATTCTGTTGTGGATGTAAAATGCTCTTATTGCCTGCTTTTTCTTGTAACCCTATTGAGGGATAGTTTTCAAATTGTGACGTCTGATTTTCTCTTGTTTAGAAGGTGAGTTAAAGACAGAAAGCAGGGAGAGATGTTAAGCTAAACGTCTCCTAAGGAAGGATGTTCAGTGAAAGACTGGGTGGTTTAGAAATGGGTAGAAGTTAGGTTATTCATTCTTCTTTGGCCTGGAGGCTGACTGCTGTTTGGCTTTCTTTTAGAATTAAAGCAAACAAAAAACGCACAACAGCAACATTTGGAGGAAACTGACTGTTTATTGGAGTGAGCAGGCAGATACAGCCCTCCAATGAAGGTGGGTGCTAGAAAGCAGCGATGGGAAATACGTAAGCCAGAAGGAAACCTAGAGCTTTGTGAGTCAGGTGTGGGCTCCAGATGGAATAATGACAGCATAGGGTCCTCTTCCTCCTTTCTTAAAGAAAAGGTAAATTTTAAAAATCAAAACTTGAATTAGTAGCCAAAATCAATGATTTCCAATCCAAATCAAATTTAGAGTGCCTATTAAGAAATTCGAAATTCTGGTCTTCATTCCCAGAGGTAACCATTTGAGTGAGGGGGGATGTGGCTGCCTCGTGTACACGGGCCCACCAGGTCACTTTACTTGTCTGTGTTACCCACAAGATGGCTGTTGGGGTTTGAGTTTGCAACTTTCAGAATGATAATAATAATAATTGCTATTATCTATTAGATGTCACTACGTGGCAGGCACTGTGCTGTACTGAGCAGCGTCTCCTAGATTATCATTTTAATCATTATATCAGCCTTATGATGTGGCTGCTGATAGTATTCCCATCTACAGATGAGGAAATTGAGGCATAGAGAGGGTAAGAAATCACCTGCAGTCACAGAGAAGACTTGGAATTTCAACTCAGCCAGCGTGACTCAGGAGCCTGTGTGTCAAATGCCATGCATGTGCCGCACAGAAAGATGTAACAACTCCCATTAGGTTTTCTTCAGAAGGACACTGCCAGAAAGTTGGTACTGTTGCCGGGCGTGGTGGCACATGCCTGTAATCCCAGCGCTTTGGGAGGCCTAGGTGGGAAGATCGCTGGAGCCCAGGAGTTCAAGACCAGCCTGGGCAACATAGTGGGACCTCGTCTTTACAAAAACATAAAACAATCAATCAGCTGGGCATGGTAGCATGCCTGTAGTTCCAGCTACTTGGGAGGCTGAGGTGGGAGGATCACTTGACCCTGGGAGGTTGAGGCTGCTGTGAGCCGTGATCGCACCACTGCACTCCAGCCTGGGTGACCGAGCAAGATCCTGTCTCCAAAAAAAAAAAAAAAAAAAAAAGGTTTGTACTGTTTGCCTGCTGCAAAGATGGTACCACTGAGACCTAGCAGTGAGTGAACTGAATTGCCCAAGATCAAACCACCACATAGAATGTACAGAGTGACTTATTGCCTGTAAAAAAAAGGTCGAGTGTGAAACTGACTGTGGACGTGGACATCTAGGAAGCTGAAAGTCTGGCTCTGGTAGAAGTACCCTCACCCTGATTCCCATCCTCTGTGTGCACAGAGTGAAGCTGGGGTGACGGCCTCCACCTTCCATCCATAGTCTTGCAGCAGAGAGGTAGCACCTGACACGTAATATTTTGATAAGTTGCTGATTTGTATTAAAATAATAATTACAGCGATAATTACAAGCACGGATTTCACTGAGACTCAGCTGCTGACGGTGAGAAAAAATAATTAATTGCGTATTCTCTGGAAATCAAATGGAAGCCAGACCTGGCCTTTTTCCTTTGTGAGAGTCCAGCGCAGGTTTTGCTGTAGGTTGAAGGCCATGTATTTTGCCAGATGCTGTTTATGTTAATAGTATTGATGGTAGATTTCCATGCGAGGAGTCGCTGGTAATTGGGTGAACATCATCTTTATGCGCAGACGCCGCAGAAAATAGCCTGGCCGGATTCTGATGGTAGCACCATCCCTTAAACCATGAAACAAACTCCACCCTGGAAGTAAACACAATAATAGAGGAAAACAATTTAAATCTACCTTTTATTTATTTATTTATTTATTTATTTATTTATTTATTTATTTAGAGATGGAGTCTCACTGTTGCCTAGGCTGGTCTCGGACTTCTGACCTCAAGTGATTCGCCCACCTAGGCCTCCCAGAGTGCTGGGATTACAGGTGTGAGCTGCTGTGCCCAGCCATTATTATTAAATATTCTTAAGTACTCTAGCATTGGCAGGTACCTGGCCATCATGAAGAAGTCATAACTAATTTAATTTGATTGCTCTCGTTCTCTTTATACTTCTGTTTTTGAAGCTGATTGAATTGTAAGCTACTTTATTATAAAAACTTGCTAAACTTCTCTTGAAGTAGAACATGCATGAGAAAGAATGCAGAAATCATGAATAAACAGCTCCAGAAAGGGATCACGCCCAACTAACCAGCACCCGAATTCAGAGCCCACCAGCCCCCGGGATCCCGGCCACGTCCACTCTGACCCCATGCCTGCAAGGATAGGGTCTCTATCGTGACTTCTAACCCCACCAGGTACTTTTGCCTCTTTTTAGAAATGGAATCATACAGTCTGTACTCTTTTGTGCCTGGTTTGTTTTGGTTAACATTGCGTCTGGGAGTTTTATCTCTGTCCAGGGTTGGCGAACCCCAGCTTACAAGCCAAATCTGGTCCTTTGCCTGTTTTCATATGGCCTGTGAGCTAAGGATGGATTTTATGTTTTTAAATAGTTGCGGGGGGGGGCGGGGGGGGGAGGAAAGAATGATATTTTGTGACGCGTGAAAATTATATGAAATTCAAATTTGTGTCCACAAATTGACTGGGCATGGTGGCTCATGCCTGTAATCCCAGCACTTTGTGGGGCCGAGGTGGGTGGGTCACTTGGGGCCAGAAGTTTGCTACCAGCCTGACCAACATGGTTGAAACCCCATCTCTACTAAAAGGTACAAAAAAATAGCTGGGTGTGGTGGTTGATGCCTGTAATCCCAGCTACTCAGGTGGCTGAGGCAGGAGAATCACTTGAACCCGGGAGGCAGAGATTGCACTGAGCCAAGATTGTGCCACTGTACTTCAGCCTGGATGACAGAGTAACACTGTATCTCAAAAAAAAAAAAAAAATTGCGATCATAAATAAAGCTTTATTGGAACACAGCCATGTCCATTTCATTTATATATCAGCTATGGCCGCTTTTGTGCTATGACAGCACAATTGAGTAGTTGCAACAAAGACTGTATGGGCCCTAAGCCTAAAACATTTACTATCTGGCCTGTTACCAAAAAGTTTGCTAACCCTATGTCTATATTGGTTCACAGAGTTGTAATTGTTCATTTGCATTATTTCATTGTGGAATATACCACAATTTACATATCCATTCTGTTTATGGGCATTTGGGAAGTTCCCAGTTTGGGGCCATTATAAATAGTGCTGCTGTGAACATTCTTGGACATCTCTTTCGGCAAACATATGCAAACATTTCTGTTGAGTATATACCTAGGAGCGGAATTAATTTAACTACTTTTTTTTTACCAATTGATTTGACAATTATATTTTAATTTGGAAGTCTTACCTTTCAGAGTAGGAAGTAAAGCACAGTAATACTTTCAAATGCTGAAACTCTGTAACAAGGCTTATTTTCATAATTAGTCTTGCAAAATTCAGAGTCCGTAGAAACAGTTTCTTAATTGTCCATTGTTCTTCCATTCTTAGTCCCTTCTAGGCTGTTGGGAACAAGCCCGATGTCAACTGCTTTAGTTGCTTTTGGGAATGGTGCCATCATTTAATTTCTTATACCAAAGCCATATTGTCCACAGCGCTCTTATCTTTATTCAGCAAAACAGGTTTGGCAGAATTAGGTGTTTTTTTTCTAGATGTCACTTTCTGCTTTGATTGACTTCTGTTTATCTCTGGCTTTCTGGTTTTCTTGCTGGGAAGCAGATGAATATAGCCCTGTGTCCCCAATAAGATCTCTAGCCTGCAGTAGCGTGTGTCATTTTACATTGAAACTCTGTGCTGAAATATCCCTTTGGGGACTGCATATGCTGTACATGGCCACAGCATCGGAGCACGGAGACTTCCCCGGAGGTGCTGCCTCAGTGTGCGTTGTCAGCATTGTTTAGAAATGCAGGATCCTGTGTCAGTTTCTGAATGCCAGTCACTTCCCATTTGCTGCTCCACTTTTTGGACACTAGCACTGACAGGGTTGGAAGAGTAAAATTAGGATACCCTAGGATCCACCCATCTTTCAGGTTTGCTTGGTGCTGGCTGAAAAATGACTTAATATTCTTTCTGGGGCTTGTCAAAGAGTCCTGTCCGTTCTTCTCCTAAGCCAACCCACTTTACCAGGAGTAAAGCCCTAGCTGTTGTAGGAGCCTGTCTTCTGATTCTGCCTGGTGCGATGAACAAACTTAAGGAATGGCACAAGAGAAGAAGGTCAGCTGCTGTTTTAGTATTACTTTTGGAATGAAATTTGAATTTAGTGCAGAAAGGATTTGTGGACTTGAAACCCTTGGGCTCAGCTAAAATCCTTTCTATGTGACTCAGGATCTGGAAGCCTCAGTTTTCGTCTTTAAAATAGGGCTGCAAAGCTGCAATGCTATTGTGGTTATGATTCCAGAGTGGAATTCCCAGATGTGAGAAACTTAACCCTTAAATTCTGGTAGTTTGCCTCCTTTCCCTTTAGCTTAATAGGTTGTCTTTTTCTGTTGGAATATTTACTTTTGTTAAGGTAAGACTAGAATTGTAAGTATTCATTGAAACTCTTTACAAAGGTGTGTGTGTGTATGTGTGTGTGTGTGTATTCTAGGGGAAGAACTTCTCTTTTTAAAGACTACTTTCTAGATGTTCTAACGTGCTAATTACAACTGATAATTAACTTGGTCTAAAAAGAATCTTAATAGATTTCAAAAGTAGAAAACTTCCAGGCTTCCTTCATAAAACAATAAGATATATTGAAAATTAGCCTCTAAAAGACAATCGCATAGAAATTTAAACAATCGAAACTCTTCTAAGTAATTCTTAGATCAATGAATAGATTAAATTTGACATTTCAGATTATATATTGATTAGCGAAAATGAAAATACTTCATATCAAAACTTGAGATAAGGTTAAAACTGTGCCCAGAGGAAAACTGGTAGTCTATTTTAAAAGCACTTTAGGTTTTGACATTAAATATGAAAGAGTAAAATAATTAAAATAAAAGTCCATTAAAAAAATAATTGAGGCTGGGATGGTCTCGAACTCCTTGGTCTGAAGCCACCCTCCTGCCTTGGCCTCTCAAAGTTTTGGGATTATAGGTGTGAGCCATGGTGCCAGGCCTGAGACCCTGTTACTAACAAAAAAAAAAAAAAAAAGAAAAAAACTGAGAATCAAACAAAAGAAAGTAGGAAAGGGACATTAAGAAAAATAAAGGCAGAAATTCACAAAACAGAATGCAAACACGATAGTATTAATTCATGAGATCCTTTAATGACCCAACCATACAAAGTGCTAATTTCGTTCCTCTTAGGGTTAGAATCTATGAATAGGCTGTAGGTTCCTTAATTCTCAATGCTTGCTCAATGCTTCTCTTATAGCAATTGAGTAAGGGAACCTGTCAGTAGCAGGAGGCACCACTGGTTTCATGTTATTAGGATGGGCGGGTTAGGGGAAGTTATCACTTAGCCTGCCCACATCAAAACACAGCACACTTCATGTACCTTTTTTCTGCTGATCAATTTCCTCTCATTTTTAAGAATAGTTAAGAATGGCAGAGTAGCTTATCATTTTGTAGAATACCTGTAGTGTCCTGCAGGTTCCCAGTGAACTTTCTCCCCAGTTTTCATGCCTTACTGTGTCTTGTAAAGCCAGGGTTTTCCTCATTACTGAGTGCCTTGAGCTCTGGGGAGCAGGTCCCTGGGGTGATGGGCAAGAGTCTTCTATCTCACTAAGCTCAAGGCTACTCCACAGCGGAAATGGGAAGCCGACCTTGTTGGTTTGGAATTGACTTTGATGTCCTCTCAGCAACAGCCATTGATAATCTACTGTGTGTCACATAGTAGAAGTTTTCTATGAGTGCATGCTTTACAGATGTACCCAGGATGTTTGCAGACACTTATTCATTCACTCAACAGATTTTACCAAGAGCCTACTAGGTGCCAGTCACTGCACGGGAGCTGGGGTTGGAGCAGTGGACAGAACGCGTTCCCTGACTTCCTGCAGCTCAGGTTCCGATGGAGGGGACAGTGAGTCAGGGAGAAGGGGAGGGTCATCTGGGAAGGCTTTTCCAACAAGGTGACATTTAAGATGAAACAAAGAGAAGATAGTCCGGCATGGATTGCGGGGAGAGGAGGTAAACAATGTGGTCATTATGACAAGGACATGAAAGTCATTTGGGAAGAAGGACAGGAACAAGAGCCTGCAGGGGCTTCCAGGCCACCATCAACTGTTTTCTGGGGTGAGGTTCCCAACAGCCCTGCTAATGGGTTCATCATCTCTGTTTTATTAAAAACCTAGAAAAGTTGACTGGTTTAGAAATTGCAAGATTTGGAGGTGGAACTTGAACACTTGCAAAAAGTTGATCACGTTCTTTGAAGACAAAAATCACTCTGTCCAACAACCTTCCCAGAGTCCCTCTGCAGTTATTATCACTCCACCTCCAATGAAAGAACATTTGTCCTTTGCATGCAACGGCTTTTTCGATTCCCCACCTGCCCCTGCAGAATGATGATGTCCCCAACTCGGAACTTCTCTCCCTCATCTCCATGTCAAAACTTACCTGTCTTTGGTCCTGTCCTAAGGTGTTTGATTTTGAGGGTGGTGGTGTCTTACACTCCCCTCAGCTTGGTAACACTGATCTAGAGAGATGGCAGATGGGGGCTGCCTGACCTGGCAGCAGTGTCTGTCTGTGATGGCGGGCTGTGCTGTGCTGGAATGTCTTAGTCTGTTTACGACGCAAGACAAAGTGATCTCGACTTTCAGGAGTCAGGATACCTGGATTCCAGAACCTGTTCTGTGTCTTGCTTGGTGTGGCTTTGGGCTGCCTGCCTTTCAGGTTCTCTGTTTCCCCGTCTTTAAAATGGTCTGAGGGATTCTGGGTCCCTTGTGCTCTGAACTTTTAGGTCTCTTGTGGTTACCTGTGCCCTGATTGCACATGTCTCTTCTTCCAGCCGTGTGTGTGACCCACGTGTCCTTTCCCACTTCCATGTGTACGTGGCTGTTTTGGTGTGATTGTCTGCAGAAAAGAGTCCTTTCCTCCCAGTACCTCCCACTTCTACCTAACAATAAACTCTAGAATCCTTCTCACCTTTTTTTTTTTGTTTGTTTGTTTGTTTGTTTGTTTTGAGACGGAGTCTCGCTCTGTTGCCCAGATTGGAGTGCAGTGGCGCAATCTCAGCTCACTGCAACCTCTGCCTCCTGGGTTCAAGCGATTCTCCTGCCTCAGCCTCCTGAGTAGCTGGGATTACAGGCGCCTGCCACCATGCCTGGCTAATTTTTGT
This sequence comes from Homo sapiens, assembly GCF_000001405.40. Lineage (NCBI taxonomy): Eukaryota > Metazoa > Chordata > Mammalia > Primates > Hominidae > Homo > Homo sapiens. The sequence continues at coordinate 451,442 of NW_019805500.1, read as the reverse complement.
ATTTTTAGTAGAGGTGGGGTTTCACCATGTTGGCCAGGCTGGTCTTGAACTCCTGACCTCAAGTGATCTGCCTGCCTCCACCTCCCAAAGTGCTGGATTACAGGTGTGAGCCACCACTCCCGGTCCTTCTCACCTTTTATTAGTAACTGCCATCACCATCATAGCTGGTCTTGGATTCATTAACTCCATCAGGTTATTCCCAGTGGTGGAAACAGTGAATGGCACACAATAGGTGCTCAGTAAATATTTTTGTTTCCTTCAGAAATTGCCTGAAAGATCAGATGAGATGTCTTAAAAGTGAGAGCTATGGAACCCCACTTTAAGATGACATTTTAAGATCCAAAGGCCAAAGATATTCTAGAACAAGGAATCATGCCTTGTTCCATGGGTTCTTGTCAGCTCCTCACCCATACTGATGGCACCTTAAGGTCCACCTGTGTTCTTAGTAGTTGATGCATAGTCCTGTTGATGATGATAAATAATAGTAATTAGCAGCTACCATTTATTAAGCACATACTACATGTTAGGCGTTTTATATTTAATGCTTCCAACACCTAGTGTTGTCAGCATTGTCAGAGTCACTGTTTTATGGACAGAGGAAGTGAGGCACAGAGAGGGGAAGTAACTCTCGCAAGGTTGCACAGCTCCCCACAAGCCCGTGTGCATAACCACCACGTCACTTGATGCTAAGTCCCGTTGATGGGACTGAAGACCAGCCAGACAGGGGAGGCGCCCTCTTCCAGGTGCTGGGCCTGCCCCGTCCCCGCAGCCCATAGGGGAAGTGTCCACAGCTGCAGGCCTGGCAGACACCCAATCTTCTCCTACCCTCTCCAGGGGCTGCTGTTCTCCATGCCCGTGGAATTGCTGAGATCCTGCAGACAGCAGTGAGAAGCTGGCTACTGTCGTCAGAGCCTTTCCCCAGGATGGGGCTGCAGATTTGGCCCCAGCCCTCCTTTGGCCTGCTCAGCTGGCCTGGGGCAGCAGGAGAGAGTGGAAGAGAGGCATGAACTTGCTTTCATCAGAGGGAGCCCAGGGCATGCTCTGTGGGTTCAGAGGAACTTCCTTGGGCGTGTGGGTGAGACCAGGCATGGCATGACACTTATATGCCACTTCCTTCTCCACCAAAACGTCCCTCTTTGTCTCAGTTGGTGGAATGAAGTGCAATGCAGTAGAGAAGCACGGGGACTTGGCGCCAAGGTGCCGGAGTTCGCAGCCTGGCTCTGCCACCCAGCAGCTGTGTGACTGAAGTCTTTGTGCCTCAGCTCCTTCATCTGTAAAATGGGGATGATGATGAACCCACTTCAAAGGGTTGTCAGGAGAAATAAATGAGTTAATACATGCACCTCATTTAGCACAGTGTCTGGGCCTGTATTAAGCACCATAACATGCTGCTGCTGCTGCTTCCTCCTCCTCTTCCTCTTCCTCTGCCCTCCTCCTCCTCCACCCTCCTCCCCTTCCCCCTCTTCCTCCTCCCCCCTCTTCCTCCTCCCCCCTCCACCTCCCCTCACCCTCATCTTCCATTATTATTATTACTGTTGATTCTTGTAGGAGGAGGAGGAATTGGATGAGGGAGATTTGCCTGGTCAACTCTGCCTCTTCCTCTCCCTCCTTCCTCTGGAGCTGTGTGGGGACTAGATTGTGTTGCTGGCTGTGTGGCCTGCGGTCAGTCACATAGCTTCTCTGTATGCATTTTCCCACCTAAAATGAATACAGCAATTGTAATAATGATAATAATGATAATATGCTTCATTTTAAGATGCACATTTTTTACTGTGTCGCCCAGGCTCACAGCCATTTTATTTTATTTTATTTTTGAGACAGAGTCTTGCTCTGTCTGCGCCCAGGCTGGAGTGCAGTGGCGCAATCTCGGCTCACTGCAACCTCCGCCTCCCGGGTTCAAGCAATTCTGCCTCAGCCTCCCAAGTAGCTGGGATTTTAGGCATGTGCCATCACGCCTGGCTAATTTTTGTATTTTTAGTAGAGATGGGGTTTCACTATGTTGGCCAGGCTGGTCTTGAACTCCTGACCTCAAGTGATCCACCCGCCTTGGCCTCCCAGAGTGGTGGGATTACAGGTGTGAGCCACCACATCTGGCCAAAGATACACATTTTTAATATTTAGTAAATAGCCTTTCTGAAATCTGGGATGAATTTTACAATTGATGTGTATGTTTCCTTAATGTTTCAGCACACACCCTTTTGCCCCAAATTGTTATTCAATCAATGATGCATGTCACAAGCGACAGGGTCTTACAATGAAGCACAGAGGCCACAATGTCCACAATGTGCCAAGCAAGGTACTGGGTGTTTTTTAAATGCCTCATTTTTTAAAACTCTTACTGCAGCCCCAGAAGTAGTACTCATATTCTCCCATTTTACAAATGTGGACATTGAGGCTTAGAGGGTGAAAAGTGGCTTTCGTGGAAGGTCGCTTGTTCACACAGCAGAGCTGCTATCCAACCACCCTCCATGGGTCTTACGACATAGGCTGAAACTCTTTTTCCAAGAGCATCCCATAAGCACCTCTCTCCTTCTCCCTGGGATGTAGGAATATGTTCCTAAAGACAGCTTCAAGCTTCTAGGATGGAAATGCTAGTGGTAGTCTTAAAATATGAGCCCCTGCCAAGTTCCAAATGTCTTTGACCCATGAACTCAGCAGCAGGACGGCATGTCTGGGAGACCCTCCCAAGTCATGCTTTGTGCAGGACACAATGTTTTCGGAGCTTAAAGCGTTTTATAAAATAATGTGGGATTTGTCCCAGAGCCTGGCACAGGGTCTAGAATGCTTGAGTCCTGTTTTCCAGTTGGATTAAACTAAGGTCAGACATTCTGCCCCAAGCCTGAAATGTATCACGTGGGCTGGGAGCAGCCCCTGGCTGTCAGGTCCCTCCCAGGCTACAGGCACCCAGGGGACTTCCCATCTGTCTCTCTGTCCTGTGTTGAGAGTGATAGTGGTTGGTGGGCATTGGGAGGGTCTTAGGGAAGAGAGGAAATAAATAGCAGGCCGCTTGGTTTAGAGCAGGGCTGTTGGGCAGAGTCCAGAAATTATCTTGCTAACAGTGACAGTCTATGAGTTGGTGGGGAAGCGAGGTCGTGAATAATTGATTGCTGCTAACTGAGTTGTGAAAACCATTTTCGGAGATTCGAATGTGGAGGCTCTCCGAAGGAGGGAGGGATGGAGGGGAGGAGGGGGTGGGTGGGAGAGTAGACAGGGATGAGAGCGTCCTCTTCCCTTGAGTCCAGAGGTCCCTCTTGGGCTCCCCTGGGTCTGGTTCAGCGAGTTTGGCTGCAGTCCCCCGCACTTGAAAATGGCCTTGGCTGACCCTGGGCCCTGAGAAGGGAGCAGCGGGTGGCCTCAGCTCTGGTTGGGTTGGGCTGTTCCCCGCTGAGGGTTGGTTGAGTCTCCAGGCTGAGTGGGAGTCCCCAGACTTTCACCAGTTCAGAGCAAATCTTTTGAGTCTTTAGAAGGAGTTCCTTGTAATGCAGACGATGGGGTCTTCGCCTACCTCCTTCCAGCCTGATCACCTGCAGAATCGAGGGAAGACATGGGTGTTTCTGAAAGCAGGTCTCACTCCCAAGACTGGGAGGGGCACTGTGTTTTCTGAATATGACACTCTGGGGCTTGTTGAGCCATTTTTTTTTCCTAGAAGAGGCAGCATCACCTGTTGATGGAAACCAAGAGCCTGGGTTTGAATCCTGGATTCACTCCTTCCTAATTGGATGAGCTTGGAGCAGTCAGGTTCCCTCTCTCTGCCTCAGTGTGCCATCTGTAAAGTGAGGATGACAGTGGTCCCTAATCTGAAAGGTTATTGTGAAGAGTCAATAAGTGAGCATTTAAAGATGAAGTACATAAATACATCTATATATCTGTGAGACTGCTGTTGTCTCACTTAGTCATCTTTATTTATGTATGTATTTATTTTTGAAACTGTGGAGCATGGCTTGATGAGCAGCTCACAGAGGCTGGATTTCTCCCTCAGCTGGACACCTTTGTGCAGTGCCCAGCCTGCACAACTGGGCTTGGCAGCCCTTTATAGGATGTCACCTATATTAAATAGCAGGTGGTTGCTCTCCAAAGAAATCTTGCTCTCTCATTTTCAAGCCTGACGAGCTTTTCTAGATCTCTCATATCTATAGGTGCTCACCCAAGTCTACTGTTTGACCGACCACCGTGGCCCGAGCCTGAGTTTCCAGCTGGGAGTTGGAATAGACTCTTGAGCATCCCTCGAGAGGCAGGGTGCAACACATCACCACAAGGCCTGGTGCCTCCTGAAGAGCGGTCTCCCTGCTAGTGTCCAAACTTTGTAAGAGTTCCCCCTCTTTATCCCATTAAAAATAAACACCGTTTTCTTCACTCACTTCAGCTGCTGAATGGTGCCCCTGAGAACAAGCGCTTGTGTTTCCTCCCGTGGGCTCCAAAGGGAGAGGAATAAACAAACTATAAACAGCTGTTTCTCCGCTGGTGACGGGATTCAGACAATAGACCCTCCACGCGTGTTAATCAGCTGCCTTTTCTGAGGCGAGTTTGCATTGAGGCCACAGAGGAGCCTCCATGCTGGGGCGGCACTGGGTGGAACTTCCTGAGCCAGTAGTGAGAGTCGCTCAAAAGAGCCCAGCCCAGGCCTCCACGCAGCCCAGGTGAGCCCGGGGCCTCTCTAGACAGATGTTCTGGCAGCTGCCAGGAAGGGCTCCCAGCCTTCCTTTCTGGTGACTTCTTGAGAGAGGCCCTTGGGCAGAAGAGTGGCCTCCAGCCGACTCACTCTATGTGGTCACCTCTTTCTTTAACAATGGATGGTGCTCACTCAAATGCCATTCATCTGACAAATATTAATATTTATGGAGCAGCCTCTACGTGCCAGGCACTGGGCTAGGTTCTTGGGACGTATCAGTGAACAAGTGTGGCTGATGCCTGTAATCCCAGCACTTTGGGAGGCTGAGGCAGGAAGATCTCTTAAGCTCAGGCTCCTTGAGACCAGCCTGGGTAACATAGTGAAACCCTGTCTTTCCAAAAATCAAACAATTAGCCTGGCATGTTGGTGCCTGTGGTCCTAGCTACTTGGGAGGATGAGGTGAGAGGATTGTTTGAGCCCTGGAGGCAAAGGTTGTAGTGAGCTGAGATCGTGCTACTGCACTTCAGTCTGGGTGATAGAGTGAGACCCTGTCTAAAAAAACAAATGGTGTCCTCCCTTCATCCATTCACTCTTCTAACCCATTTTTATTTTACCAAATATTTAGTGAGCACCTACTATGCTCCAGGTGCCATAGCTAGGTTCTAGGGACACATCAATGAACATTTGAAAGTGCATGTCTGCCCTTTATCCATTCATTCCCTCAGTCTGTATTTTGACAAGTACTCATTGAGCACCTACTATGTGCCAGGCACTGCACTAGGTTCTTGCGACACATCTGTGAACATTTGAAAATATATGCCTGTCCTTCATCCATTCATTCCTTCCAATAGTATTTATTTTAACAAATATTTATTGAGCATCTACTATGTGCAGCATGCTCTCCTAGGCACCTACAATAAAATGGTGAGCTGGGCATGGTGTCTTGTGCCTGTAGTCCCAGCACTTTGGAGGCCAAGGCGGGAGGATCACTTGAGACCAGGAATTCCAGACCAGCCTGGGCAACATAGTGAGACTCTGTCTCTATTAAAAAAAAAAAAAAGAAGAAGAAGTTAGCTGGACATGGTGGCATGTGTCTGTAGTCCCAACTTCTTGGGAGGTTGAGGCAGGAAGATCACTGAAGCCCAGGAGTTTGAGGTTACAGTGAGCTGTGATCACCATTGCAACCTGGGTGACAGAGTGAGAACCTGTCTCAAAAAGACAAAAAAAGTAGTGAACAAGATAGAAAAGGTCCCTATACTCCAGTACTGAGGGTTAGACTGTAAATTATAAACATATAAATAGGATTAGTTTAGCAATTAGTGGTCTTCTAAAAACCACTGTGTATTAGACGGTGACTATGGTGGGCTGAGACTTGTTTGGCTGGGATGACCAGGGAAGGCCTCCTTGAGGAGGTGATATTCGCACTTACACCTAAACATGAAGAGGAAACATTATGAGGACCTCTGAGGAAACAGATTTCCAGCCAGGAGGCACAGAAAATGTGAAGGCTGGAGGAAGCTTGGGATTCAAAGAGTTGATGAACGGCCAGTGTGCCTGGTGGTCATTGAGTGAGGGGAGCCTGGTGGGGGAAAGGAAGAGGGGTCAGTGGGTGAAAATATGGGGAGCTTTGAGATTGAGACCAAAGCAAGGAGTTTGGATTTTATTGAGAGTGTCATGGAAAAGTATTGGGAGCTCAAAGCAGGAAAAGGATCAGCTTTGAGCTTTCAAAAAGAAAACCCTCTAGTCTAGATATGATGACAAAGTGCAAAGCAGTTTGGATTGGATCCTGGAACAGAAAGAGGTGTGTATTTATATAATGTCCCACTCCTGCTAGATAGGTTAAGACCCATGGGGTTAGGTGATTAGTTGTATCACTACGTTTCTAATGCCTGTCATGTAGCAGGAACTTAATATATGCTGTATTAGTCCATTCTCACACTTCTATAAAGGTACCACCTGAGGCTGGATAATTTATAAACAAAAGAGGTTTAATTGACTCACAGTTCCGCATAGCTGGAGAGGCCTCAGGAAACTTACAATCATGGTGGAAGGCAAAGAGGAAGGCAGGCACATCTTACATGGTGGCTGGAGAGAGAGACAATGCAGGGGAAACTGTCAGTTTTAAACCATCAGATCTCGTGAGAACTCGCTCACTATCATGAGAACAGCATGGGGGAAATCACTCCCATGATCCAATCACTTCCCACCAGGTCCCTCCCTCGACACGGGGATTACAGTTCGAGATGAGATTTGGGTGGGGACACAGAGCCAAACCATATCAGATACTATATCATGTATGTTTATATTTTATATCATACTATATATACATACTATAAAATGATGATAATATAGGTAGCAAGTACTTACTGAGCATTTACTATTTGTCAGGCACATGCCAATTCCTTTGCTTCAATTAACTTTTAATCTCTGCCACCCTGTGAGGTAACTACAATTTTCATACTTATTTTACAAAAGCATTTAAGACCCTTGCCTGAGGTCACAGAGTTGAGTCGAGATTTGCACCCAAGCGGTCTGCTCCAATGCGTCCAGTCCTCAAATGCTGAGCTAACTCTGCCTCTCATAGAGTGAATGCAGAATGAATCAATAATTTGTATCATCTTTGCTGATTAAAGTAACACACGTTCACCGAGAAACATTTAGGAGATGAATATGTGAAGAAGAAAATCCAAATCCCCTATATTGCCACTCTCAGTTTAGTTTTGGAGGAAGGTTAAGCCATGAAGTTGCTAATTTGAGTAGGAATAAGGCGATCTTGTTTTTGTCTTTCCTCCAAAAGAATGAGGATGCAGAAAGCTGGGCTCAGGAGATGGGGAAGAGGGAAGAGAGCTGCAAAGGCTTATTGGAGGATGCTCTGCAGTTCTTCCCAGCATCCCCTGGGGTGGTCCTTGCCCCCTCTCTCAAGGTGGGGGAATCCATGGGCTCATTGAGAATCCAGAGCTGTGGAACCTCCAGGGTCTAAAAATGCTCCAGGCAGCCTGTGGCAGTGATAAGTCTGCAGAGAGTTGAGGCTCCTCAACTTAAATATGTGGGGCAATATGTGGTGTTAATCTCATTCAGAACCGCCCTCACAGACACCCCAGAAGAATGACCAAATATCTGGGCACCCCATAACCCAGTCAAGTTGACACCTAAAATTAACCATCATGGAGGTGGGGGGTAGGTGGGCAAAAATCACTTTAACACTTTTGATTCTGATCTGCAATGAGTTGTAAGCTCTGCACTATCAATTTGATAACAGCTTTTTTAGTCAGGGTTCTCCAGAGAAACAACCAATGGGATGTATATGAGACACACGCATACAGTTTCATTATAAGGAATTGGCTCATACAAGTATGATGGCTGAGAAGTCCCAAGGCCTGCGGTGGCAAGCTGGGTCCCAGGAGGGCCAGAGTGTTGTTCCAGTCTGAAAACCAGCAGTCTCAAGATCTGGGAAGGGCCAATGTTTTCATCTGAACTCAAAGGCAGGAAAAGACAGGTTTCCCAGCTCAAGAAGCCAGGCAGAGGAGCTCACCATACATGGGGGTGGATCAGCCACCAGTGCAAATGTTAATCTCAACCAGAAATATCCTCAAAGACACCCCAGAAGAATGTCTGACTGACTATCTGGGTACTCTGTGGCCACATCAAGTTGATACATTAAATTAACCATCACAGAAGGGGATGGCAAAAATAACTTTAACGCTTTGACGTTTAAGCTCTGGAAGCTCATTTTTGGGTCACGTGTGGAGGGTTATTGTAGAGAGCTGGATCTTTATCCTCCTTTTGATAATGATCCTATCTTTATCCTCAGCCATTATCTGACACTTAGTGTTGCTGAGGATTTCCTGAGGGAGACTTAATCTTATTCAAGATCTGTTCTTGCGATTGCTACTTAGAGTACCTGCTATTTAAAAAAATCATCCAAGAATTTGAAATTTAAGGCAGGACTTTAAGGAATTAAAACAAGAGTCCAAAGTCCCAATTCCCTTGAGGCCAGGAGAAGTAAGTTGGTACTCTAGGACAGGTGCAGGGCGATAGGGAATGGTGAGGACTTTGGTGGACAGAAGAGCAGAGGCAGTGGACTGTTGCTTCTTGGCTCCACTGCCTGTGACTGTAAGAGAATCAGGCCCAGGGTTATCCATTCTTTCAGGTATTAAAAGCAACCGGAAATTTCCTTTTTTTTAGTGCAATATTTAATAAATATTAACAACTAATTCAGTTTTGTGTTTTTTTCAGTAACACCCTGTGTGGCCAAACAAAACATTTCAGTGAGCTGGATTTATCATAAAGGTCTCTATATAACCACTTATGAATTAAATTATGATAGTGATAATAACAATAAATGATAATTTTTCCTGTCGTCCCAGCTACTCGAGAGGCTGAGGCAGGAGAATCGCTTGAACCTGGGAGGCGTTCTGTCGCCCAGGCTGGAGTGCGGAGGCATGAGCTGAGGCACTCCAGCCTGGGTGACAAAGCAAGAATACATCTCAAAAAAATTAATGATAATTTTGACAAAATATGTAACATTTGTTTGTTTTATTGTGTGCCTGGCACTACTCTGAGTCCTTAACTATATTATCTCATTCAGCCATCAGAACATAGGTAGGCACTGGTTATGCCCGTTTTACAGATGAGGGTCGGTACCATGCTCACAGCCACGCCATTAGTAAGTGTTGGAACTTAGCTTTTCTCGTTCAGCCACCTTTGCTTTAGATTTCTATGCAGTGCTGACTCCCCTGACCCAAAGTGTGAAACTTACCCCTACTGGACTTCTCCAGCCTGGGTTATTATAGATCGTAGCAGAGAGCAGTAGTCCATGGAGAATATTACACTAGGAAGCTTATATTTTATTTAGGCAACCATAAACCATGCTAATCACATTCAAATACAAATGCATCTATTCCTTTCATTGACATGTGAAGTGGAACTTAGTATCCAGATTCTGCAGATGAACGGATAAGATTCCATTTCTATTTCAAGGCCACACAGTTCATTAGGGGCAGAGGGGGCACTGGAACTCAGGTCCACAGGCCTCTAAGGCTCATGGTCTGCTACTTGTTCATGTAATTAAGATCAAAGAACGAGAAAGAGCTGATAGAAATGGCTGACATTGAATGCAGTTGTGCTGACTGTAATTATGTGTGTATGTGTACATGAAAATTCTCATCCAGGAAGTCATTCTGATACTTACCACTTATTGTTTGCCTGTATGGGTGAGCAAGCAGCGTGCTCTGGTTCAGTGCATCTCTTGAATCTTTGCTTTCTCAATGAATATGTGTTAATTAGAAAATGTTATGAAGGTTATCAGTTCATTCTGCATTCATGTTGACGGCCAGATCTTTGGTCTCATCTGAAAGTTCTACTGGGGAGGATTTGCTTCCAAATTCACTTACGTAGTTGTTAGCTGGCCTCAGTTTTGCATGGGCTGTTGCACCAAGGGCCCCAGTTCCTTCCTTGCTGGCTGTTAGCTGGAAGCCTCTTACAGGTCCTAACCATAGGGAAGCTCACAACATGACAGTTGGATTCCCCAAAAGCCAAGGATCTAAGAGAGAATATGGGAGAGACAGCACCTAAGATGCACCTAATACGCTGCAGTCTTTTTAGAACCAAACCTTGAATGTGGAATACCATCACTTCTGTATTTTTTCTGTTTATTAGAAGTGAGTGACTAAATCTGGCTCACATTCCGGATGGATTTGGGTGGGAGTGGGGATACTGGAGTGGGTATCCTTGGGGCCATCTTAGGAGCTGCCTACTACAGGTACCTTGGCACAATTTAAATGACATTGAATCTTATAGGAAGTGGTTGAGTCAAAGAGGAAGTCTCGGTTTGTTGTTAGCACATCTTTATCACCTTTCTAAAACTTGTCAGTTTCCCTTTTTAACAATGGAAAGCAGACATTCAGAACCTACTACTACAGTGTTTTCTAGCCGGATTACAACAGTACCATTCCTCCTTTCTTTTCTTTCTTTTCACATTATCTTCTGTTTAGGGCTTGTGTCAACTCATTTTTCATTTGGGATGCAGGTATAAGTTTCTCTTTTAAATATATTCAAATAAACATTGCATAAATAATAGCACACAATACATGCAGATATGGCAAAATTATGTCGGTCTTTGGAAGGATGACTGTAATTTAGGGAGCCGCTCTTTTCCACTATCCAACAAGAAGTGACTGTTTCTCTGGGAGCGGCTGGTTTTATCTGGTTTCTGATGAGGTTCTAGAGGGTAGCAAAAAATCTTTCACCCATCTGTCCGTCAACTTTGTTTGGGGATAACTGGAACTCTGTGTGACCAATTCTGAGGCTGCATCTGAGTTTAAAGGCAAAGTTCTGCAATCAACTAGCCATGTCCACCATGGATGCAGGAGGAAGAAATTGTGCCACGTATGCCATGTGCCTGCCATACTTGATCTAAATCATTGCTTCACTAACTTTTAGCCACTATGATGATGACAATGATTTGATAACAGCTTAAATTTCTGTATTTACCAGAATTTACCAATATTTCTGTATTGCACTCATCCTTATGACAACTCTTTAATTTCAATGATCAGATCTAATTTATAAATGAGAAAACAGACATGGAGGTGTACTGACTCATACAAGATCACCTAGTAAGTGAGCTGTTGAGCTTGGATGCTGATATGGTTTGGCTCTGTGTCCCCACCCAAATCTCATGTTGAATTGTAATTCCCAGTGTTGAGGGAGGGGCCTGGTGGGAGGTGATTGGATCATGGGGGCGGACTTTCCCCTTACTGTTCTCGTGATAATGAGTGAGTTCTCATGAGATCTGATGGTTTCGAAGTGTGTAGCACCTCCCCCTTCACTCTCTCTCTCCTGCCACCATATGCTTGCTTCCCCTTCACCTTCTGCCATGATTGTAAGTCTTCTGAAGCCTCCTAGCCATGCGTCCTGTACAGCCTGTGGAACTGAGTCAATTAAATCTCTTTTCTTCATAAATTATCCAGTCTCAAGTTGTTCTTTCTAGGGATGCGGGAATGAACTGATACAGATGTGAACGCTGGTAGTCTGATTCAGGCACCCATGCTATCAGTGTCTACCTTACATATAGTCAAGTATCTGACAGTCCTCCACTCTTACGTAGCGTATGTTTAATCTGGCCTCCACTTAACATTTACCTTGGCCATAGTTGCCCCAATGAGGACATCAGTGTCCCATACAATAGGCTTTTTTGGTGAAGTACAAGAGTAGTGGTCATTCATGCTATCTCTTACCTTCACAATTACCATATTGAATGAAATAATGGCTATAAAAATGCTATGGGTTGGGTCAGCCACCAAACCAAAGTTAGGGGAGAGCGCTATTAACATCATCATCTTCTTCCTGTTTTCCTCTGCGATTAGGTTCGTCTCACAGATGCCTGATCTCATCTGTGGGGAAATTCTAGAATTGCAGACCTTTTTAAATATTCTCCCTCTCTGGCCATTAAGGGCCCCTTAGTGGTTTTGGAAACCAGTGCTCCTTCCTTCTACCCAGTGGGAAAGGTTTTCGTCTTTTCCATTTCTTTAATCCTTTCTCTCTTCCTGAATGTTCCATTCGCATTTGATGTGAGGGTTTTTCTTCTTCTGATAGTTTGTAATTTTGGTTCCTCTGCAAACCTCAAGAATTCTGTTGGTAAGTATGTATGATCCCGTCCAGAAAGGCTGACTGCACCGTGCGGCAACCAGTATTCAGCCTCTTTGCTGCAAATACTGCTCAGTATGATTTAGCTTTGAGGACATGATGCTGGAGTTCAGGAAAGTGAACTTCACTGTATTTTTTAAACTTGCCAGATTTGTGTTCCTAAACACTTTGGAGAGCTCCTCCTGCCTCCCAGAACAATTTTCTGTAATTGGTGCATGGGGAGAGGTATTTTGAAGGAGCGATCTGATTCCTCCTTCCCTCTCTTCTCTTTATCTAAACAACCGCTCCACGAACAGTAGGCTGTTATTCTTGTTGGACCAGGTGATAGCTGTGCAGGGTGGCGTTTCAAGAGACATGTAACTCTGAGCATTGCAATGTAGATACAAGTGCATTCCAAGCAGATGTGGGTGACATCGTGCACATTGGCTTCACGTGGGACCATTTCCTGGAGTGGCTCCAATAAACATTTGGTACAGATAAAGATTGCTTGTCCCCAAATGCCTTCTTGGCTTCTGTGGAGCCAAATACGATTGGAGGCGGAGGATGCCGGGTTTGAAAAGTGGGTTTCTGTGGCCACATGTGGGAGTTTAGCCCAAGGGAATGGTATTAAAGTGGGAAGCCGGCAGCTTGTACCCTACACGGGCCCAGATGGTTCCGGATCTCTTGCCTTCATGTCTGAGATGTCTGGATTTTGGCAAGCATCGTTTTTTTTCTTTTTTCCTTATCATAATTGGTGTTCTTTGAGTAAAGTGTTCCAAATGTAGTCTAAGGACTGAGAGCCTCAGACAGATGGCCTGAGTTTAGAGCTCGGCTTCACTCAGTTTTCGGATCTGTAAAATGGGACCCATACTGTTTACCTGCCACAGAAGGTTCTCATGAGGATTCAATGAGCTAATGCAGGTGGATCATTTCGCACAGGTCTGGCCCCCAGGAAGGACTCAAGAGGGTCAGCAATTACTATTGTTATCATCACCCATTTCACATGCATGGCTGTGTGGACTTTCTCTCTGGGAAACCCATATGTTACCCAGTGAATGGAATAAGTCTTCACTTCTCTCACGCCTGTGTAAGCCAAACAGTTCCAGAAGACCTTGCTCTTCTGTATTGTCAGCGTAACAGAAATGCTAGTTTAATAAAAAGGAAAGCACCAGTGGAGATGTAAATTGTGTTTCTGAACTGTTATGTAATTCTCCACTGCATCTCATTTAATCATATTGTATTGAGGTCATGTCTTAGCTCTCTGGTCATTTGAAGTAGATTCCCTTTTGGACTTCTATCCCTAACTCTAAAAAATTCCTCAGGGTAAATTTCTGCTTTCCATTTTTATAGAATGACCTCGTTCCCAACCCGTAGCTTAAAAGCTGAATGTGATTGCAGTAGCTTTAAATAAGATGATCAAATTCAGTTTCACCAATGCTGCCTGGGCCCATACTATGTGCCATCCACGCCCCTACTATGTGCCAGCCACGGTGGTAGTGCTGAGATCAGACCACAGCAAACTCCTGAAAGCAAGGCGATATCATGGCAATGAGTGGGGACTCTGGAGCCAGACAGCCTTGGTTCAAATCCCTTTACCCCTTCCTGTCTGTATGACCTTGGGCAAGTCACTTCATCTCTCTGGGCCTTGACATGCTCATCTCTTAGACCGTGTAATTGTCTTTTCTCACACTGCTAATAAAGACATACCCGAGACTGAGTAATTTATAAAGGAAAGAGATTTAATTGACTCGAAGTTCTAACATGGCTGGGGAGGCCGCACAATCATGGCAGAAGGCGAACGAGGAGCAAAGTCATGTCTTACTTGATGGCAGGTAAGAGAGCATGTGCAGGGGAACTCCCATTTATTAAACCATCAGATCTCATGAGACTTATTCCCTACCATGAGAACAGGATGGGGGAAACGGCCCCCATGATTCAGTTATCTCCACCTGGCCCCGCCCTTGGCATGTGGGGATTATTACAATTCAAGGTGAGATTTGGGTGGGGACACAGCCAAACCATATCAGTGGAGACATTACTACTACTTCCTGCCTTTAGTTGGAAGTAAATAAAGTCATGCATTCTTCATGCCTCCTATAGTACATACAAATTCTTCAGTAACTGCACAACATCTACCCCAGCTGCTCACGGGTGATGTAAGATGAAAATAAAGTCAATGAGAGAATCCTTGGAGGATTCAGCCCTGGAGAGAGGGCACCAGGTCTTTAGTATACCAGGTTCCCTTTGGCCACCTGCTGGAGCCTGGCACATAGTAGGAACTTTGTAGATGTCGGTTGAATCAATGAAGACTCCTTAGACTTTTTTTTTTCCTTCTCATCAGGAAGCATTTACCTTCACAAGCTCTGAGGCCCAACTTAGATGTAACCAAACCCACAGCCACCTTCAGGCAGGGACAGAGCCTGAAATAGCCCAAAGGGCCCTCATCACGTACACTTCTTCGTTTACTGCAGCTGCCGTTGCCTTTTTTAAAAACTTGCTTGTGTCGTAGAAGAAAGTGACCAGATAATGGATTGCTGGGTTCTTGTAGGGGGTGAGGGGACAGTGTGCCTTGGTAAAAGAAGGTTCCAGAAGGCCAAATGGCTTTCCTTTAGCTTTATGTGGGGCTCTGAGGCCCGCTGTCAGCCCCTTTCCATGCATTTCTGCTTTGGAGTCTATTTATGTGAAAAGTCAGTGAATGGAGAGTTCTGTGCGTGCTTCCAGGACAGATCCCAGGAGGAAGGAAATGGTTCTTAATGTACTGACACTTCAGCCTGGTGTAACCCCTGACTCTTGCATATGGTGCGTGCCACGCCGGACCTGAACCATGTACGCAGAAGGCATCTTACAGGCATCTCTGCCTTGTTGCCTGGGAAGTAAGTGGCCTGTCCAGCCCTGCCAAGAAAGAGCCAGCTAGGAAAGATGAACTAAGGTGTGTGCCATGAGTGCATGGGCCAAGCGTCACTGAGCACCTCCTGTGAGCTAAGCATGCTTTCTTCTTTCATCTGCATTAAAACTCCACACCTGTGTTGTTGGGATTGCTAATTCCATTCTTCTTCTTCTTCTTTTTTTTTTTTTCTTAGAGACAGGGTCTCGCTCTGTTGCCCAAGCTAGAGTGCAGTGGTGCAGTCATAGCTCACTATAGCCCTGAACTCCTGAACTGAAGAGACCCTCCCACATCAGCCTCCCAAGTAGCTGGGGCTACAGATGTGTGCTACCACACCTGGCTAATTTTGTAATTATCAGTATTATTTTTGTAGAAATGGGGTCTTGCTATGTTACCCAGGCTGGTCTCGAACTCCTGGCCTCAAGTGATCCTTCTGCCTTGGCCTCCCCAAGTTTTGGGATTACAGGCATGAGCCATTGTGCCTGGCCCCATTGTTTTTTTAAATGATTAACTTGAGGGTTACAGAGAACTGGCTTATTCAGGGTTGCTAAGCCTGATCTGTTTTGTTTATAGCTCACTTTTCTTAATAATTGTTTTGTTTTCAGAAATGACAAGTAATGCATCTTCATCATTGCATACTTACGAAAGACAGAAAGGCATTGTGTGGATAACAGACTTTCTCTGGCTGTTGCCAGAAGGAAGAGGGATGTGGAGCGAGGTGGTTCCTGGAAGGAAATCCTGTAATTTACTAGCAGGTGATGACACGCTTGTCACCACCTTCTTTGTGGATGGGACATGCTTCATTCTGACCCTTCCCAGAACTTTTCCCAAAACATCATTTGACATTGATGATGATGGAGGCAATCTGCAAAGGTTGGTTCCAGGGCAGAGGCGGGAGTTTCTGAGCCAGAGTGGGTCATTCCCATGCTGTCCACTTAGATAAAGCCCTGGCTTAGAAAACCCCAAACACACTGAAGTGGATACTGTAATGGGATTTATGCAATACTCTATTAAGGGCAAACCCAGTCCCATAAATACATGCCCGAAATTCAATCTGCCAAATGAAACGTTAAAGGCGCCAAATGGATTTCTCGAAAGGATCAGAGCTAAGATGTAGTTTGCCTGCTCTTGATAAGCTTATCCAGCCTTGCCGCTAGGAATGAAGGAAAAAAAAGCGGGGGTGGGGGAACAGAGTTAAGGATTTTACTGTATTCTCCAGTATCTTAGATATTTTCTTTTTCAATGAAAGGGGAGAAGGAGATTATCAGGCCTCTGGCTGTGAAGCTAGTGTTCCTGATTCAAATACCTTTGAGGCTATAGAGGAAATGCTGTTAAGTCCCTCGCTGGAGCCCAAATTCCATTCTTCAGACCCCAAAGCCTCCTCGGCGGGGTTCCTTCTGTACCTGGTAGGCTCAACTACCCAGCACCCAGATGACCAGGGTCATGGCTGGACCCACTTGTGGGCCATCCCAAGTCCTAGTTTCTAGCCCCAAGTTCTGTCTTTGACCCTGAGCTGGCTGCTACCATCATGCGTGTTTGTGGATTCTGAAGTGGGCTGGGGGAAGATGGCCACTGCAGACACTGTGGATCATTCTAGGCAACCCTTCCCGACCGTGCTTCCTTACTTTTTATGATTCTCCCATCTGCTGGAAATATTGTTTTTCCCAAAAAGGGGATGTTGCAATAGCTCAACATTTCTTAAGATTTTCTTTCTCCATCTGGAGGCAAGCCAAAGGTATATCACTAGAGTTTTCATTTCCTTCCAAGCACATGGGAGTTTTTTCTGCCATCAGAGTGTGACCTCAAAAGAGTCACTTTTCGGGGTGATAGCATGGTTCAAAAGACATGGCTTGTTGGGTGGGCATGGGAGTTTTGGGCGTGGCTGCATGTGGGGCGAGGTGAATTTGGCTCTCCACTTAGCAAGTTTTCTCTTCCTTTTTTTTTCTAACACAGCTGATGGGCTGAGCCTTTGTCATCATTACCGTCACTCCTGATTCCCATTCTCCTCAGGGCTTAGGTCTTTGGAAGCTCCTGGGCTGGGATTGGGTTGGGATTGGAGGCTGTGGGTTTGGAGGCATCTTCGAGGGCACTGCCCGTCTCTGCCCGAGTGATGCTCTGACCACAGATGAATTCATCGTTCACTGTAAAAATCAAATACGTGGCCCTTGCGTGTTTTTTTTTCCTCTTTTGACAAGACAATTGATGTGCCATCTCCAGCGTATCTGCTTGGGTCGGAAGACTTGCTTTAGCCTCCTCTAGAACAACCAGCGTGTCTTTGGGTTTATTGCAGTCTACAGGATCTCTATGTTATTTAAGGACTAGAGAGGTGAGCGATGAAAAAGGGAAAGATATAATGGGAACCATTTTTTTAAACAACTTTATTGAGATGTGATTTACATACTGTAAAATTTACACATTTCAAGGGTTCTATGCAATAATTTTTAGTAAACTTACTGAGCTGTGCAACCAACACCATAATCTAGTTTTAGGACATTTTCATAACCCTGATAAGACTCCTTATGCCAATCGGAGTCCATTTCCAGGCACCCGCTAATCTGCTGTCTCTATAGATCTGCCTATTCTGGATATTTTATATAAATGGAAGCATGCAGTATGTGGTTTTTGCACTGGCTATCACGTGATGTTTTTGAGGTCTATATGTGTAGTCGTATATTGCTGAATAGTATTCCACTGTAAGGATATACGGCATGTTATTTACTAATTCACTGGCTGATGGACACTGGGTTTTTTCTGCTTTTGGGGCTGTTGTGAATAACGCTGCTATGAGCATTTGCATAGAAGTCTGGGTGTGGACATATGTTTTCATTTCTCTTGGGTAGATTCCTGGGAGCAGGATTCCTGGGTCACATGGCAAATTTATATTTAACTTTTTAAGAAATCGTTGAAGTGTCTTCCAAAGTGGCTGTGCCATTCTGCATTCCTGCCAGCAGTGTTTGAGTGGAACCAGCCATTTTTTTTTTATCTTCTTATAAACTGGATGGTGAAGAGGTTTATTAAATACCGCTGTGTGTGAAATACAACCATTGGTATCTGCCTGTGGGCAACAGACCCTCACTGGGGCCTTGATAACACACAGGAAAAGCCTCCACACCGGTTTCACATTATATCCCCCAGCAAAATTCAGAGCTTCCAGACCCCAGAAGGATCCGCAGCCATGGCTGCTTCTCCCTTCCACCCTCCAGTCTTGCTAGCCACACACCCCTGCAGTCCATCTCCTTCCAAAAAGGATTCGCTTTTATAAAAAATGCTCTGTGTCACGCTGTTGCTAATTTAGCAACTTTATTGGACAACGTGATTTACCATCCATGGCCTGCCTTCGAATGGATTCGTTTACCTGCATTGATCGCTATATGTCCGTGTTAACTGCCACCAGAAAATGCACAGCGGTGGTTAAAAACGGTGTAGCATTTTGCTTTCTGATAATGATAGTTAACTCCATCCTTGATCACCAATGACATGGTATTCCCCTTCTGAAGATACACTTAAATTGCATAACTCTGTTCCTTGGTGATGAGAAAATAAATTACTTTTCTATACTGTGTTCTGCTAAGTGCTTCTTAAATTTGGGTTCTTTAGTAGGTTTTCCTTCTTTTCTTTTCTGGGGGTGCTCTTTTGCTTCTCAAAGTGGGGTCCTTGGACACGCAGCCTCAGCATCCCCTGGGGACTTGTTAGGAATGCAGAATCTCAAGCCCCACTCCCGACCTTCTGAGTCAGAATTTGCATTTTCACAAGATTCCCAGGCGATAGATGTGCACGTGAAGTTTGAGAAGCGCCGCTCTAAGCCATAGGTCAGCAAAATAAGGCCTTGAAGGACACATCCAGTCAGCTCAGTGTTTATATAAATAAAGCTTTATTGGAACACAGCCACGCCCACTCGTGTATGTGTTGTTTTTTGTGGCTACTCAGCATTCCACTGCAGAGCTGAGTAGCTGCCACAGAGACTTTATGGGCTGCAGAGCCAAAAATGTGTATTCCTGGATCTTTACAGAAAATGCTTGCCCACCTCTGCTCTGGAGATGGTTTTATTTTTATTTACTTATACATATTTTAAATTACTAGCTTTTTCATGTTTAGCTTTTCTCATTTTGCATTTATTATACATTTTGGGTCATTCTACATTTCTTTTTTCAGCTAAGTTATGAGTGCTGTTCAGCCCCAGTTTACTTTAGATACTATCTCTTAGAATGAGATAATGAAAATTAAAAGAAGCTCAGGCTTCAGGTTCTGGTCTACAAACTAAAAGGTTTTGAGGATCCCTGAGGTGGCTGGTTAGCTCTGTTTTTATGTCATTTTATTTTTTGCAAGCAAGGGGGTTCATGGATTGTGAATCTGGAAGACCATATGTAAACATTCACAAATTAGGGTGGGGAAAAAAAGAATTCCTTTGTCAGATCATAGGGTCTGGTTAGGTTGGGAAAATACAGGGAGAGGAGCCATGAGAGGCACCCTGGAAAGGGAAGCAGGCAAGACTGGGGGCCCCTCCAGGAATGGGCCTGCACTTGGTTTAATGTTCTGCTGCCGCCATCTTGAAATTTATAATTTTTGAACAAGGCACCTGTATTAGTTTGGTTCTCCAGGGAAACAGAACCATGTACAGGCTGAGTGTCTCTTAACCAAAGTGCTTGGGACCAGAATCTTTGTGCATTCTGGATCTTTTCAGATTTGGGATATTTTGTGTTATACTTACTGGTTGAGCACCCGTAATCTGAAATTCTGAAATCCAAAATGTTCCAGTGAGCGTTTCATTTGAGCATCATGGTGGTACTCAAAACGTTCTAGATTCTGGAGCATTTCAGATGATTGGGTTAGGGATGCTCAACCTGTGTATTATAATCCCAGCACTTTGGGAGGCTGAAGTGGGCAGATCACTTGAGGTCAGGAGTTCAAGACCAGCCTGGCCAACATGGTGAAACCCAGTCTCTACTAAAAATACAAAAATTAGCTGAGCGCGGTGGTGGGCACCTGTAATCCCAGCTACTTGGGGGGCTGAGGCAGGAGAATCACTTGAACCTGGGAGGCAGAGGTTGCAGTGAGCCAAGATCACACCACTGCACTCCAGCCTGGGCGACCGAGCAAGACTCTGTCTCAAAAAAAAAAAAAAAAAAAAAATTATTATGGGAATTGGCTCCCATGATTATGGAGTTTGGGAAGTCCCTGCAGCTACTCTCTGCAAGCTGGAGACCCAGGAAAGCTGGTCATGAAATCCAGTCCCAGGCCAAGGGTCTGAGAATCAAGGGAGCCAATAATGTAAATCCCGGTCTGAGCTGGAGAAGGTGAGATGGATGTCTCAGCTCACGCAGTAATGCAAGAAAAATAAATTTCTTTCTCTCCCTCTTTGTGGGCCCTCCATCTACTGGCTGATAACCACCCACATTGGAAAGGGCCATGTACTTTACTGAGTTCACCAGTTCAAATGTTAATCTCGTCCAGAAACACCTTCACAGATGCACCCAGAAGTCATGTTTAATTTGGGCACCCCGTGGCCCAATCAAGTTAACACACAGAAGTAACCATCCTCGCTGCCACTTTTGTTTGACATGAGGCCCTACAACTTAATGTAGCCATTTCTGGAAGATGGTGATTGGAACAAAAGAACTTAAGAATTCGCCATCCTTGGAGGTGAGAGCAACATACTTGCCGTTGAGTTAACCTGCGGCAGAATTATTTTGGGCCAGTGATTTTATTGCTGTCGCATTTCTCATCAGCAGTTCAACAGGTTTCTTGGCTGTCTTTCTCTTACCTTACTCTGTTTGTGGCAAGGAAAGAAAGACCATTTTTAATGATTTCTTGAATTAAGCAGTTAGAGACTTAAGCCTGCTTGGACAGAGGGGGTTTCAAAGTGAATTTCGGATTATCTCCAGTTAAGGATGGCGTTTGATCCTCACAACTTGAAGGTAATTACTTTCAGGGGATGTATGTTGCTCCTTTCCCCCTGCAGAGGTAGAGTGAGAAATGCTGCTTTTCAAAGACGGGTGCTTCTTAAAGAAATTGGGCTCCCATCCCCTTTAGGTTTGAGGTCCCTGAGTCTTTTGAGCAGTTGGGGTTTTTAGGCCACAGGTCCCTGTGGAAGCTTCCCAATGGCCCTGCATCCTCCTGATCCCTATGGGGAGGCATTTCATCCATTGACCCTGCAGGTAGCTGATTGAGTCTGAAATAGCAGCCTCCCAGCCCAGCAGGGACCAGAGTAAAGGAACATTTGCTGTAATTTCTTTCCTCCTCCCTCTCTGAAAGATTGTTAATCAGGAACCTTTTGGAAACAAAAAATAAAAGGAAAGCAAGAAAAAAGAGACCTAGTTTGGTGAACCCAGTGGAAAACTACCACACGGCCGAAAGCTTCCCGAAACCCCTGGCGGCAAGGGGATGTCAGTTGGTGAGTGGGCTGCGGCTACAGATGTCTCAAAAGCTCAGACACATTGATGACAAGAGATGCTTTTAGCACTTTTGGAGAGACCAAAGGACTTTTGATGATCATCATTATGACTGTAAATAATTATGCATTTGTAATCAGAGCTGTGACCATTTATTGAGCATCTAGCATGGGTCAGGTCCTGGGCCAAGTCAGGTGCATCTCTTAATTCTCTCAACAGCCCCTCAGCCTGGCTCATTTTATAGACAGGAGTCTGAGGCTCTCAGATTTAACATGGTCAAGAGCACACAGCTGGAAAGTGACAGGGTCAGGTGTAAGCTCTGCCGCCAGAGCTTGTGCTGCACCCTCAAGCTGTCCTCTGTCCTCACTGTCCTGGTCAAAAGCTACTCCAGTCCTGGTGCAGTGGCTCATGCCTTTAATCCCAGCACTTTGGGAGGCTGAGGCGGGCAGATCATCTGAGGCCAGGAGTTCAAGACCAGCCTGGCCAACATGGCGAACCTCTGGCTCTAGTAAAAATACAAAAACTAGCTGTGCGTGATGGTGTGTGCCTGTAATCCCAGCTACTCAGGAGGGTGAGAATCGCTTGAACCTGGGAGGCAGAGGTTGCAGTGAGCCGAAATCACACCACTGCACTTCAGCCTGGGCGACAGAGTGAGACGCTGTCTCAAAAAAATAAAAAATAAAAAGGTCCTCCAAACCCCCGCCTCTCCGGTAGTACTGTCAGAAGTTAGGTGTGGATTGAAATTAATGAGGTTCCTATAGGTTTGAACTCTAAACAATTGTTTCCCAGAGTGTGGCTGAGATGATTTGAGGTGGTAGACAGGTGAACGTTTTAAAAAAAAAAAAACCTTTTTGTATTTAAGTGAAATGTATGTAGCTGGCTTATTAAACCTGTGATTTTAAAGTGAACTAATGGTTCCTTTTAAAACACGAATGTAAGAGAAGAAACAGTGAGTCTTTTAAATACAAAAAAGAGTGTGGGTAGGATACATGTGGATGCTGATTCAGCTGTTGTAGAAGCATCTTCTGTGCACATTTGGGCAACCTTGTGTTGGGGATGTGGGGTGACGCATTTGAAAAGCAGAACTTGAAGCTGGGAGTGATGGTTCACGCCTGTAATCCCAGCGCTTTGGGAGGCCAAGATGGGAGGATCACTTGAGTTTGAGACCAGCAAGGAGAACACAGTGAGGGTCTGTCTCTACAAAAAATAAGAAATCAGCCAGGTGCGGCGGTGCACACTTGTAGTCCCAGCTACTCAGGAGGCTGAGGTGGGAAGATTGCTTAAGCCTGGGAGGCTGCCGTGAGGCGAGATCGCACCACTGCACACCAGCCTAGGTGGCAGAGCCAGACTCTGTCTCAGAAAAACCAAACAACAACAAAAGGCAGAGCTTGACTTGGAGATGTTGTTCGTGGTGGCAAAGAAGTCTTGAGCCAAGCGTCAACATTTTAGACTTCCTCATTCATGATGGTGGTGCTATCGTCCCTTCTCTTCCGTGGACACGATTTCACCACTTGCTGCCCAAATCCCAGATACCTTCGCTGCCTTTCAGAATTATTCATGAGTGTTAGCAGGAAGCCCTTTCCACAGCTTGTGAGATTCCCCATCACATGGGCTCTGCCTACCATGATGCCTGATTTTGTATCATTCACCACCTAATTACTCCCAAGCCACACTCTCCTTTCTCTGTCTCTATCCTGCCTCAGGGCCCTTGCACTTGTTCCTTCTTCTATCTGGGATGCTTTACCCTATATTTTTGCATGGCTGACACCTTCTTAGTATTCTGGTCTTCACTCAAATGTCATCTTTTTACAGTGGCCTTCCCTTTTCACCCTACTTAAAGTTTTTCCTCTCTCCTTAGTCATATGAGAGGTCTGTGAATGTTTTCTGTAAAGGGCCAGACAGGAAATATTGTAGGCTTATGGGCCATAGGGTCTCTGTTAAACCTACTCAGCTCTGCCATTGTTGGGCAAAAGCAGTCAGAGGCAATAACTTAGTGGGCGTGTCTATGTGTCAATAAAACTTTATTTACAGAAACAGGTGGTAGACTGGATCTGACTCACTGGTCAAAGTTTGCTAATCTCTGCTCTATGCTATTGCCTTGTTTTGTTTATTTATTTATTTTTTGAGATGGAGTCTCACTCACACTTTTTCCCAGGCTAGAGTGCAGTGGTGAGATCTCAGCTCACTGCAACCTCTGCCTCCCGGGTTCAAGCAGTTCTCATGCCTCAGCCTCCTGAGTAGCTGGACCACCACGCCTGGCTACTTTTTGTATTTTTAGTAGAGTCAGGGTGTCACCATGTTGGCCAGGCTGGTCTTGAACTCCTGACCTCAGGTGATCCATCTGCCTCGGCCTCCCAAAGTGGTGGGATTACAGGTATGAGCCACCGTGCCCGGCCGTAATGCTATTGCCTTGTTTTATTGTTGTCATAAATTTATCACTATCTAAAATAATCTTGTTTATTTGTATGTAACTTTTTCTCCCCGTATCTAGAACATAAACCCCATGAGGACAGGAATCTGTCCTTTCTTCTTCTTTAATGTGGTATCCTCAGTCCCTAGCACTTAGTATGTGCTCCATGAATATTTGTTAAACAGATAGATACTGTCATTAATGGGATTCCTGAATTTATTCATTCTCCAGACATGCATTGCTCACTTACTTTGTTCCTTACAAAACATTGGGAACAGATCTCGTGGCAAAATACACGTATAGACATGGAAGTGGTCATGGTACCACATGACGTGCTAAACGAGGTAGGAAGTGGCACAGGGTGGCGGGACATTAACTTTCTGGAAGTTACAGGTGGCTTCTTGGAGGGAGCGCCATCTGAGCTGAGTTTGAAGGATGTATTTAAGGTATTTGGTAGGCAGGAAGGAGCAGGAAGGGCATTCAGGACTCAGGGAACAGCCTGGGCAAGGCACGGAGGCAGGAACCAGCCTGGCTGTGTGCTGGGGGAAAGAAAACCATTCAGGGTGGAATAAATAAGCCCAGGTGTAGCAGCAGGTGGAATGAACAGCAGCAGGAAGTTGGAGACCCTATTGGATTACTTTCCTATGAACAATTAACAAAGGGCCTTTCCTGAAATATGGGCTTGGGTGCCATGTGTTTAAATGTGAGCTTTGGTTTCTGGGAAGCAAAATGTTACATTGCTACCTAGAAGTGTAAGAAGAATTATTTGTCCATGGGTCTGGTGAAAGCTAATACACCTTCTTGGTTGATTTAGCCTCAACTATCTAGAGTGGGTCGACATTTGGAAGGGAGCTGCATGGTGTCCTATATAATTGGTAGGTCCAAGAAAAATGGTTTCTTGGCTCTTAAAATATATAGACGATGTTAATGAGCAGCCTTCTGGGTCTCACCCTACAATGCATCTAAATGCCATCAGTTGTCAGTGGGGAGTTAAGCACACAGCAAAGGGCAGCATCTGGCTACGGAAGGAAGTTGGGGGAATTGCAAGCGCTGAGTAAAATTTTATTGAGGTGGGCCAGCCCTGCTGTTTACGAGGTGCTTCAAGGGAAATCATGACCTGCAAAGCTAAAGACCATTCCTCCTTACCACCCTGGTGTTGGGAACCGTCCCCAAGACTGCAGGGAGTCCACCTCCAACTTCTAAGGCTTGGCCAAACCCTAATGAGGCTGGAGCCAAGTTCAAGGGTGGAGGCTGATGCCACAGGAGGTTACAGGAGAGGGAAACAGATGCTGATTCAGCACCTAAAATGTGCCAGGTGGTGGTGATGTCTGTACCTACCATGTGGTACAGTGTCGGGGTGTGTGTCCACGTATCTTTTTTTTTTTTTTTTTTTTTTGAGATGGAGTCTTGCTCTGTCACCCAGGCTGGAGTGCCGTGGTGCAATCTCAGCTGACTGCAACCTCTGCCTCCCGGGTTCAAGCAATTCTCCTGCCTCAGCCTCCCGAGTAGCTGGGATTACAGGCACCTACCACTACAGCCAGCTACTTTTTGTATTTTTAGTAAAGACGGGGTTTCACCGTGTTGACCAGGATGGTCTGTAACTCCTGACCTCGTGATCCGCCTGCCTCGGCCTCCCAAAGTGCTGGGATCACGGCATGAGCCACCGCACCCGGCTGTGTCCACCTATCTTATTTTCTTGGTGTTTCTACAGCATCCACATAACACTCCCCGGTCATGGTTTATTTACTTCATATTTTTCTTTGCATCCACTCACTTTTTACTTAGCTCAACCTAAGCTATAATGTCCATAAAATCATGGTCTTCATGAAGCCTATCGTCTTCTCATACATCAGCATAAATACATAAGTATTGGAATTTGTAATGAAAGGTTTGTTCATGAACCGAATGGAATAACTTGTGGGTGCCATTTGTAGCCTACTTGGCCTTATCTTGTTCAGTTCTCTCAGGTTTGCTAGAAGGTGTCCTTGCTTTCATTTGACAGGTGAGGAAGTAGAGAAGTTTAGACAGTCACTTAACATCACACAGCTAAGAAGTGGCAGAGTCTGGATTGGGACACAGATCTTTTTGGGTTTTAAAGCCCAAGTTATTTGCATCAGCTTTTCAGAAGAAGTAAAGGGTGGATGATGACCGAGTGTCTCCTGGGTTGGATGGACAGATTGAGAGCTTGTAAGAACAGGCATAAATGGTTAGATGAGGCCAATAGGACTTCCTGCCCCTTCTTGGGAGGCAGAGATGACTTTGGCCACGGTCCTATAGGTTCCCATGGATTTTGCTATAGGACTTGCTTATACTATGAGAATTGCTCCTGGGTCACCACTGCTGTGGCATGATGAGCCTGTAGTCATCTCATGAAATAACAGTAATCCTTTGGGAGGCCGAGGCAGGGAGATCACCAGGTCAAGGGATCGAGACCATCCTGGCCAACATGGTAAAACCCCGTCTCTACTAAAAATACAAAAATTAGCTGGGCATGGTGGCATGCACCTGTAGTCCCAGCCACTCAGGAGACTGAAGCAGGAGAATCGCTTGAACCTGGGAGGCAGAGGTTGCAGTGAGCTAAGACTGAGATTGCACCAATGCACTCCAGCCTGGTGACAGAGTGAGACTCTGTCTCAAAAAAAAAAGAGAAAAAAGAAAGAAATAACAGTAATCAATATTGACTCCTGCACAAAAGCCCAGGGGAGTGAGGTTGTAGGGAGGACAGCACGTGGGATTGTCCCCACAGAGCCACTGCACAGTCCCAAGGATGACAGGGGGCCCCTCCTTTGTATCGCAGGCTGATTGGTATTCAGCCCTCAAGGAAGTGCCCTTGAGGAAAAAACAATCGCCTTAATGGGTTCTGAATGAGCCTTACTGCCAGCCATTGTTGGAAGGCCACAGGGAGGAGACTCAGCTGCCCCTGAGGAGTGGCAGTGATGGCCCAGTGCAGAGCTGATCCTGTGTTTTGGGGCAATTTCACATGAGATGAAACATCAGGCGCTGCTGGGGAGGCCTGCCGAGAAGGGCGGCCCCACTGGGCAGTGAAAGCACCTACTCCAGTTTAAGGGTGGAATCTTGGGGCAGAGGAAGAAGGGACCAGATAAAGTTGGCAAGCCCAGCGAGGTGTCCAGGATATTAGCAGGGAAGAAAAACCTCCTCTGGCAACGATAATCACATTGTTCCGTCAAATTCTTAAGTCATCGTTATTGAAGGTCCCACATTTGGATGACTGTGCTTCGACGTACTGCTAGTCTGTACGGGGACTTTGCAGGGCTAAAAAAGTCAGCCTCTTAGCAGAAGACCAGAGCTCACCGATGCAGGGCGTGGTGAGCAAAGCACTGGTTGGATTTCAGCCCCTATTTGCCACTTTGCGGTACACAAATCATACAACTATTTGCAGTGACCCCAAGGAAGATCTAACTTGTGTTTCAATAAAAAATATCTGTGAGGCCAGGCATGGTGACTCACACCTGTAATCCCAGTACTTTGGGAGGCTGAGGTGGGCGGATCACCTGAAGTCAGGAGGTCAGGAGTTCTAGACCAGCCTTGCCAACATGGTGAAACCCCGTCTCTACTAAAAATACAAAAATTAGTTAGGCGTGGTGTTGCATGCCTTTAATGCCAGCTACTTGGGAGGCTGACAGGAGAATCGCTTGAACCCAGGAGGCGGAGGCTGCAGTGAGCCAAGATCGCACTACTGCACTCCAGCCTGGGTGACAGAGTAAGACTCTGTCTCCAAAAAAAAATAATAAAGTAAAATTTGTGGGCCAGGCACAGTGGTGCATACCTGTAATCCTAGCACTTTGAGAGACCAAAGTGGGAGGATCACTTGAGTCCAGGGGTTTGAGACCAGCTTGGGCAACATAGTAAAACCTCATCTCTATGAAAAATTTTAAAAAATTAGCTGGGCATAGTGGCACACACCTGTAGTCGCAGCCACTCAGGAGGCTAAGGTGGGAGGATGACTTGATCCCAGGAGGTTGAGGCTGTAGTGATCTATGATCATGTTACTGCATTCCAGCCTGGGTGACAGAGCGAGACCCCACCTCTACAAAGATTAAAAAGTTAGCCAGACATCATGGTGAAACCCCGTCTCTACTAAAAATACAAAAAATTAGCCGGGTGTGGTGGTGGGCATCTGTAGTCCCAGCTACTCGGGAGGCTGAGGCAGGAGAATGGCGTGAACCCGGGAGGCAGAGCTTCCGGTGAGTGGAGATCATGCCATTGCACTCCAGCCTGGGTGACAAAGCAAGACTCCGTCTCAAAAAAAAAGCTAGCCAGACACGTAGACCTAACTACTTGGAAGGCTTAGGTGGGAACATTGCTTCAGCCCAGGAGTTCAAGGCTGCAGTGAGCCAAGATTGCACCACTGCATTCTGGCCTGGGTGATTGAGTGAGACTCGGTCTTGAAAAAAAAATGTTAACAGTTCTCTGGTATTCCATAATAAACTATCTGAAAACTGAGTGGCTTAAAACATTAATTTTGTTTTGTTCCTAATTTTGTGGATCAGGACCTTAGGAAGGGCTCTGCTGGGAGGTTTGTCTCGGCTCCATGTGTTGTCCACTGGGGCTGGAGGATCCACTTCTAAGACTTTATCGTCCGTCTGTCTGGTGCTTTGTTCCTCCTTGACCCCTCTGTCTGTTTCTCTCCAGGTAGCATCAAGCATCTTCCTGTGGCTTGATTGTCTCACAGCTGGATGGCCTCAG
The DNA here is from genome assembly GCF_000001405.40 of Homo sapiens. NCBI lineage: Eukaryota > Metazoa > Chordata > Mammalia > Primates > Hominidae > Homo > Homo sapiens. The sequence continues at coordinate 422,817 of NW_019805500.1, read as the reverse complement.
GGTAGTGTCACTTCTGATGTGGTGGCTGGCCTCCAGCAGGCAGGAAGGTGGAAGCTGCCATAAAGTTAAGGGCTACACTTAAAACTGGCACAGCATCACTCCTGCCATATTCTGTTGCTCAAAGCAGTCACAGGGCCTGTCCAGATTCTAAGGACGGGAAAAATAAGTCCCACCTCTTGAAGGGATGGGGGTGGCAAAGTCACCTTGCAGAAGAGCATATGGGATAGGAAATATAGCTGTGGTCATCTTTGGAAAATGCAGTCTGTCACTCCTTAATTGGCAGGGATTTTTCAGGAGCCTTGTAGTGATTCTCCTATCTTAGACTGCCTTAGAATCCCATAAAAAGAATAATGACAGACAAAGCACAGGCATGTTCTCCTAAGATCGAAATATATGTCTGAGTCTTGATTTTCCATGGCTTCTCCATGGAGTCCTAATGATTGAGCTGTAAGGTTACTCTAATAAGGTAAACAAGCTGGCGGAGTAGAAATAATCCCAACACAAGTCACAGCTGTGGCAGAAGGGAAGCCGATATTAATACATGCATACCTGTGGTGGTGCAAGAGTGGTTGACTCGTGTTTGGTGTTTGGTGTGGGCCCAAAGACAAGAGGATCTAGCTTGGACCAACTCATCTCCCATCCAAGCATTAGAAATCTGAAGTGTGTTTTATTGAGTCCAGCAACAAAGATTCAGTTGCTGAAATGGAGACAGATTCAGACAGTAAGGTGATGTTTTTGGTTGGAATTTTCTTCAAAGCTAAGCCCTGGGGTCATTATTGGGCATTAGTCTCCCTTTAAAAATATGGTGTAATAAATGACATGCACACACATTCAATAGAAAGAACATTTGCACCCTTCGCAAAAAAAAATCTGAATAATTAGCCTAGTACATTTTTTTGGATAGTGCTAAACTTCACAAAGAATAATAGGAAGAGAGGTTGCATATTAATTATATTTGGAGAGGAGTTGCCTTGTTCTCTTGAAGTGTTCCAGATAGAAGAAGCCTTGGATAGCAACCGAGTCCTGGCTACTTAGCTATGACTATGAGCAGGTACCTACCCTGCGTCTCCCTTTATTCACCTATAAAATGAAAAAAATTACCTAACCCTGGGACTCTTTTAGGTATGAAACAATGCAATACAGTTTTTAAAAATTGCTTTGTGAGTTCAGAAGTTCTTTACCCATTGAGCCATTATTGCTAATAATAATTAGCGTAGCACGTTTCTGTTGCCTAAGAATTAACATTAGCCATTACTTCCTGGCTCATTTAAAAATATAATTTATAGGGTCTATCATTTCTTGAAAATACGAAATTAAAAAATTATGTGTATAACTCTAGCATTACCTAGGGTTTGGGCACAAGCTATAATTTGGGCACTTGTGGCTTATATACACATTAATTAAATTATTTTTGCTAGTTTTGGATAACGTGGGTAGCACTTTCTAAGATGAAAGGCTTGATCCTACAAAGACAAAAGAGCAAGCCATTAGATGATATTTTGCTGCTTTGAATAAACTTCACCCAGTCATTGAGCCCTATTGAATGGACTAACAGTAATGAGTGGATTACTCTCCTTCCAATAGATTTTGGATTCATTATTTATCAACAAATAGTTCTTTGAGGGCCAGTGAGGGGAAATTATCCTTGCTATGAGTGACCCAGTGGTTTCCTAACTCCTGTCTCATGGAATGTTCCTGCCTTCATGAACTAGCCAAGGTCATTCCATACTCAAATCAAAGGAAGCAGGCTCCCTCTCTTTCAATTTACAGAAGGAAAAAGAGGTCCATGGATTAGCTTTTCCCTATATTAAGTGTTTTTTGTTTTGTTTTGTTTTACTGTAACTTTTTCTTATATTTTAGAAATCTGAACCCATTTCAGCATGTGAAAATGCAGTGAAAGATGTTGTCTAAAATGCAAAATTAAAGTACCAAGAGTCATTTCAGTCAAAGGCATTGCCTGTTTCATTGAGTTTACAAACTGCGTGGCTACTGCTAAATTGAAAGGCCACTGTATTATGCTGTGTACCAGGGATGGGCGAATCTGGCCCACTGCCTGTTTTTGTAAATAAAGCTTTATTGGAACACAGCTATGCCCATTCATTTACCTATTGTCTATAGCTCATGCTATAACTGCATAGAGGGCATAGAGACCCCTGAGCTATGTCAATGAGTGTAATGACATAAGAGCAGTCTATCTTTTTTTGTTTTTGTTTTTGAGACAGGATCTTGCTCTGTCGCCCAGGCTGGAGCGCAGTGGTACCATCCTGGCTCTCTGCAGCCTCAACCTCCAGGTCTCAAGCGAGCCTTCCACCTCAGACTCCCGACTAGCTGGGACTACAGGCATTCACCACCATGGATGGCTTCACGAACTAGCCAAGGTCATTCCATACTCAAATCAAAGGAAGCAGGCTCCCTCTCTTTCAATTTACAGAAGGAAAAAGAGGTCCGTGGATTAACTTTTCCCTATACTGCGTGCTTACTGCTAAATTGAAAGACCACTGTATTATGCTGTGTACTAGGGTTGGGCGAATCTGGCCCACTGCCTGTTTTTGTAAATAAAGCTTTATTGGAACACAGCTATACCCATTCATTTAGATATCGCCTACAGCAGCGCTCATGCTATAACTGCAGAGAGGGCATAGAGACCCCTGTGCTGTCAATGAGTGTAATGACATAAGAACAGCCTTTTTATTTATTTATTTATTTTTTGAGACAGGATCTTGCTCTGTCACCCAGGCTGGAGTGCAGTGGTACCATCATGGCTCTCTGCAGCCTCAATGTCCAGGTCTCAAGCGAGCCTCCCACCTCAGACTCCCAACTAGCTGGGACTACAGGCATTCACCACCATGGATGGCTTATTTTTGTATTTTTTGTAGAGACAGGGTTTTGCCATATTGCCCAGGCTGGTCTCAAACTCCTAGGCTCAAGCAGTCTACCCACCTTAGCCTCCAAAAGTGCTAGGATTATAGGTGTAAGCTACCACACCCAGCCTCAAGCTACTTTTTTTTTTAACTCTGAACTTTTTTCCAGGCATGACAAGCAACCAAAGCTGCCATTTTGTTGTGACATGGCTCTGTCTGAATATTGTATTCTTCCTCCCAAACCTGCATCAAATATGATAGGCTGGAAATAAAATGGTTTTATTGTTTTTAAGGGAGCATTAGGCTATGGTTAAAAAGAAAAGAGAGGAGGAACTTGGAGTTATATAAACGGGTATAAATCCAGCCTCCACCTTAATCTTTTCACACACTACATTCTTTGTCTAATCCATAAATAATATATTTATTAAGCATCTAGTCCTAGCTGCTGCCTAAGGTGTGTACAAGCTGAACAACTGTTCATTATGCTGGATCTTACAGGGTTCTGATCATCTACTGCTGTGTAACAAATAGTTCTCTAACGTAATGACTAAAACAGTGCTTTAGTATCATCTCTCAAGGTTTTGTGGGCTGACTAGACGTGGCTGGATGGTTCTTTCTTGGATTTCTGCATATGTTACTGACACATATGGAGTGGGCTGTGATCATCTGAAGGTTTGGCTGTGGTGGTTGCTCAAGGTGTCTCATGCACGTGCCTGGCAGTTGGTGAGGGTTGTTGGGGGGAGCTCAGCTGGAGCTGTTGGCTGCATCAGACATGGTCTATCCTGTGTGTCTTGGGCTTCTTGCCACATGGTGGCTGGGTTCCAAGAGGGAGTTTCCCCAGAGTAAATATTCTAAGAGGTCCAGCAGGAGCTGCAAAGGTATGTATGTTATCATTGAGGCTTAGAATTCCCAGAACATCACTTTCACTGCATTCAATTGGTCAGCTGAGTCAGTAAGGCCATCTTGGCTTCAAGAGGAGGGGAATAAGACACTACCTTTCGATAAAGGCATGTCAAAGAATTTGAAGCCATCTTGAATCTGACGCATATGCCTACGGTGGTGAACTAGCACACGCCGGCTTCTTTGTTAAATTGTAACTTTGAAGAGTCCTGATGCAGAAGCAGCAGTCTTGATGCTAAGAGAGCTTTTGTTAGAGTAGTTTGGCCTGGAAAAAGCCCAGAGGAGGCTCTGGGAGATGAGCAAGCAGGAATGGGAAGGTTAAGTCGCGTTAACCAGGTGAAGAAGGGAGGTCAGAGTAATCCAGGCACAGGAAACAACCTGTGCCAAGGTCCTGGGGCAGGACTGCAAAAGGATCCAGACTAGACTAGAGCTGAGAGAATGAGGGAATTGTGATGGAAACTAAGGGTTAGTAGCCAAATAATGAAGACCAGATTTCCCAAGCTTCTAAACTTCATTTTTCTCCCATGTAAAATAGGATAATATTTACTATACGAGGCTGTTGTGAGGATAAATTAAGAGAGTCAGTAGAGCCTTGCACAGTGATGTTTTCTTTTCTCCTGGAAATGACTGTGAGTCAATGGAAAAAGCATACCACCTGACTTCTTTTTGGTGTCCCTATCTTACTCATGACCTCCTTCCTCCAGGGTCAAAACTGAGCTTACAAAGTTACGCCTTCAAACTTGCAAGCTATCCATAAAGTCTTACCAAACTGTTAAGTGTAGTCCTGGGAATTGTGAAGGGTCCAAAATGGATCTAAACCATTGCCTGGTTATTATTTGATTATTAAAGCAACACCAGCCACCTCGTTAGCACTTGTGGGTACTCTAGCAGCACCAAGGTTAAACGTCTCTGCTGGCTGTCCGTGCTCATTTGCATGGCTTCCTCCTCTCCCCCACATCTCCGATAGTTAATGCACATGCTCACTCTCACTTCCTTGTTCAAAGAGATGTTTCACCACGGTGCAGATGCTTGCCCCTGGCAACCCCTGGTGGAGGCAGCCGCTGAGAATTCCGTAAATCTGTCCTGCTCTCCCGCAGAACTGAGAATCTAAATTCTAGCATTCCAGGAGCTGGGGAGGGTAAAGGCTGTTGACATTGACATGCCAGCAGGAGCCGCAGCTCCTCCAGGGTCATTTTGAAAGCCAGAGTCTGCCGATGTGCGTGGCAGCCTCCTAGCTGCACAGGCTGATTGTGATAGGGATGTGCCCACTGGACCCCACAGTCCCCTCCTTTCTCAGTCCCTCCCAGGTACCCTCTGTGCTTTCGCATCTCAGGCCCCGTGTGAGGAACCAGGACACATGGCCTTTCATGGGGAGCTCGCAGTCTGCTGAGCTAGGGAGTTTATACTTTTCCCCAAATAATTCCCCCAAATGAGTGGGGCCCATCCTCTCCACTAATGAGGTCGTGGCAAGGCCAGTTTCTGTTCCATAAGCACAGGCTTCTTTTTGTCCCTGAAATAGCATCGCCGTGGAGTCTCACAGTTTATCCCGGAAGGGATGTGGGGTGCATTATCTGGCAATGTCTGGAGACATTTTTGGTTGGCAGGACAGGGCGGGAGCTGTATAGGCATTTAGTGGGTACAGACCAGGGGTGCCACTAAACATCTTATTCTACAGAGTGCAGGACAGCGCCACAGCAAACAGTGATCCAACCCAAATTGTCGGGAGGGCCGAGCTTGGTAGGACCTCTGCTCTCCTCTCATTGCCTGCTTTTCTCTTGTCACTGTGTCACTGCCATACTGACTTTCTGGTAGTTCCTCAAACATATCCAGTCCTGTCCCATTTGGGGACCTTCATGCTTGCTGTTCCTTCCAGAATGTTCTTCCCCATAGAAGCTGTCTGTGATTCTTGATCCATGATCAGGGATCCATTTGATTCCATGATTACACCCTTTATTCAACACTTCCCGTGTGTCTGACACACTGCATGCACAGCAAATGGAATCTCGTATTCCTGCTCACCACAGCAGCTTCTCCTTTTCCTCCATAGCTCTCATCCCCATCTGAACTCTCCATTTATTTCTGTGGGTTTTTTTTTCCTTTTTTTGAGACAGAGTCTCACTCTGTAGCCCAAGCTGGAGTGCAATGGTGCTATCTCAGCTCACTGCAACCTCTGCCTCCCGGACTCAAGCGGTTCTCCTGCCACAGCCTCCTGAGTAGCTGGGACTACAGTCACGTGCCACCACACCCAGCTAATTTTTTGTATTTTTTAGTGGAGATGGGGTTTCACCATGTTGCCCAGGGTGGTCTTGAACTCCTGAGCTTAGGCAATCCGCCCGCCTCGGCCTCCCAAAGTGGTGGGATTACAGGCGTGAGCCACCGCGCCCGGCCTCCATTTATTTCTGAGATTACCCCTCAATGACCTCTTTCCTGCTGCCTGTAGGATTCATAAAGACTCGGATTCCAGCAGTGTTGCTCACTGCTGTGTTCTCAACTCCTGCACCAGCTCTTCGCATACAGTAGGCACTCAATATATATGTGTTGCAGTGGAGGGGAGGGGATCAGAAATGGGGGAGATTGAAAGTAGGGAGAGGAGAGGAGAGTTTTTGGAGTCAGAAATCCTGGCTGCACGCACCAATTCCAGCTTTGTGTTTTGGGGGAAACCTGCTTAACCTCTCTGAACCTCAGTTTTCCCTTCTGCAAAATGGGAATGAACATCATTCCGCCCCTGTGAGGGTGGTTTTTGGTGTTTATACCCCAGGCTGTGGGTGCTGTGTGTCAGACACGCGGGAAGTGCTGAATAAAGGGTGTGATCGTTTTTCTCTGCGGGGGGTCTGCAGTTCTGATTCCCTTGGAGAAGGCAGAGTGAGGAATCATCGCAGTTACCGTCCACACAGTGCTCACCACATGCCGGCCCCGTTGGGTATTCATGCGCTTTAATCTCACAGCATCTTGTGTTGTCCTGGTCCCCGTTCCATAACTGAGCAAACGGCAGTTGAGGGTGGTGAGGGGCTGCGCTGGTACACACAGTGAGGAGGTGGTGGCAGGGGTGACCTTCAAGCAAACCCAGGCTGCCTGGCTCCATAGCCTTAACCAGGACACTCGCCACTCCTCTAAGATTTGTTTTTCATCTCCCTTTGCAGAAATGCCCTTTTGCTCATTTCTCATTATGTGTGTCAGGGCTTCCTGTGGGTGCCCAGTGGAGTGTGGGAGGAAGCGGAGAAAGCAAGGCGCTTACAAGGAGACTCATCCACGGGTCCGTCTCGTTTTGTGCCTGGGTCTTAATTTATAAAGATGTCTGATAGCCAGGCATAGTGGTGTGCACCTGTGGTCCCAGCCACTCCAGAGGCTAAAGCTGGAGGATTGCTTGAGCCCAGGAGGTCGAGACTGTAGTGAGCTATGATTGTGCCACTGTACTCTGGCCTGGGTGATAGAGCAAGACCCTGTCTCTAAAAAATAAATACAAATAAATGAAGCCCACCAAATAAATGAATAAGTAAATAAAGGTGTCTGGGTGACAACACAGCGAGGTCAAATAAATAGAAATAAAGCCCACCAAATAAATAAATAGAGATGTCTGGGTGACATCACAGTGAGGTCAATGCCCTTGAAAGTTTAGTGTGACTCAGTTTCCCTAGAAAGAAGAGGCACAGCATGCTTGCAGGGCCACAGCAGGAGGCCCTGGTTTTTTGGTTTGGAGGCAGAAGACAGGAGTAAGGAGAAAATCTAGGCCAGAACCTTTACTGGGGTTCCCACAGGAAAGGTGAGGCAAGGCAGGGCAAACAGTTTGGGATTGACCGGCTTGAATAATTTCAGGAGGGCTTTGGGCTCTAGAGGGGTCTCTAGCTGCCTGCTACCTGGCCCCAGGTTGGTTTAGGGCGGGGGAAAATTGGCTTGGTGTGTGAGAGTTAGATATGGTGATGGCTGAGGGGGTATAGACTCTGGGTTTGTTGGTTTGCATGTGAGAGGCTTGCTCCTGGTTGAGCCCTTTGCTATCTCTAAGAACGGGCTAGAACTGGGAGGGGATGTCTTTACCCAGGTCTATAAAACCCCTAATGCTAGAGCATCTACAATACAGAAAATCTGTCATCTCAGCACTTTGGGAGGCTAAGGCAGGTGGATGGCTTAAGCCCAGGAGTTCAAGACCGGCCTGAGCAACATGGCGAAACCCCATCTCTACAAAAAATACAAAAATTAGCCAGGCATGGTGGTGAGCACCTGTAGTCCCAGGTACTCCGAACACTGAGGTTGATTGAACCCAAGAGGTTGAGGCTGCAGTGAGCTGAGATTGCACCACGCACCACTGCATTCTAGCCTGGGTGACAGAGTGAGACCCTGTCTCAAAAAAAAAAAAAAATGATGACAAAAAATAAGAAAGTGTAGTTGAACTAATTAGCCATGTGATGAATGGATGGCAAATAGACAAATGCATTATCTATGAAAACACACAGAACACCCCCTTCCTTGCTCATGTGTGGGTACCCAGCATGACTGCTTAGAGTCCTTGAAGGGTGTGAAGCCAGCCCAGTGTCCCCTCAGTGCACAGTGTGTGGCATTGATGCATGCCTGTATACCATCATCAGATATGTTACTTCTTTTTTGAGTACCAGGTCCCGGGGGCACAAATAGGATGACTGTGGCCATACCTCTCTTTGGGCTGTATTCACTGACTGCCTACTGCGTGTCAGGCACCAGCCTGGGCACTGAGCATACAATGGTGAGAAATTAGACATAGTTTTTGACCTCATCCAGCTTGTGGTCTGGACTAGTCTTGAGGAAAAGGTGGGGAGTGTGGCTATATGTATTATCTCTCCAGACACACTTGGCCTATATTGGTCGCAGAAGTCAGAGGCTCAGCAGATACGAGCATTGTGAACATGGGCTGGACTGCAAATCAGGTTCAGGATTTGACCAGTTACACATTCTTCTGACTCTCCCCAGGAGTGCTGCCATTAGGAAAACATCTCGGAAAGGAATTAAGCACTCTAACTGTAGATACACCCTTATTGAAGTATTCCTTGTTTGGGAAAGTAAATCTCTGTTAGGTCTCCTTGGGACTCAGTCAGTTGGGCTGCCTTCCAAGATGGTGGATGGTGATCCACTGGGAGACCTAGTATAAGAAACTGTCCTGTTTCCACTGGGAAATCAGGAAAAGAACTTTGATGTCTTAGAATCTTTAGAGCCTCTTTACCTCTTTTCTTCCCCACCCCCACACCCCCAAATGCTTCAAAGTAAGACTATTTCCCCTCCCCCCACCCAATCCTTGGTGTTTGGTTTGAATTTGGTTACCACGGTATTTAATCTGTTTACACGAGTTTTATTTTGGCCTCTAACTACAGAATGAAGAATGTGGTAGAGTCTAGGCTGAGTTAAGCCCAGAATTCTGGAATCCTTGGTATGTGTGTGGGGTTTGTGTGTGTTTGTGTACGTGTGTGTGCGCCAGGACCCCCTCACGTGGACCTGGTGCTGTGTGCCAGGTTCTGCCCTGTATACCTCTGCACCCCCAGGAGTGCTATTCACCTAGTTTCTCGTGTGAATCATGCACATGGACCTGGGCTGCACGGTGGCTGTGAGAACAAACTGCACCTCACCAGGATCTTCAACCCCAGGAGCTGTGCGGAGCGTTTTTGGGGGCCATTTTGGGGCTCAGAGAAGGAGTTGTAGGTATACTTCTTACACATGCCCTTCAAATCAAGTTGATATGAGGTTCTGGACACTCGCTAATTAAAACATGAATATTGCAATGTGGAAGATCTTGTTCCCCCTTTTATGCCCCCTCTTGCCCCACCAAGAAGTTTAAATGGGCTTTCTGAAAATGTGCCCAGAGAAAGACAACATCCTTTTCACCTTAGGCCTCCGGGCCACCTAGTGATGGGCAGCCGGATTGTGAGTCAGCAGTAGAATTTGAGAGTTAGCAGCTGAATTAACTGTGTCCATCAGTCAGTAAGGTAACTCTGTTGCTCATCAGAGGCCTTCAGGGCACCGGAGTTTCTTCTTGGACAGTTTCCGGAGCCCCTGACTGTGGTTTAAAACCAGGTAGGCATCTGGTCATTCTCCCACGATGAAGGTGAAGCCGAATGTACCACAACTGCTCTTGTTGAACTACAACTATTAAGAGATCAGAGGTCCCAGAAAAGTCACCCTCTTGATCAGTGACCCCCAAACTCAGAGGCAACCAAGGGGTGTTTTCAGCTGCTGTTTGGAAGTGATTGTTCTCAATTCATTGTTATGAGGCCCCATTGTCACAGCCAAAAGACTTCTTCAAAAAATAATAAACTGCCTATTCGTTGGGAGAAATGACAGAGAATACCGTCTAAGCAATTTTTTTTAGTGACTGGGCATTTTTTTAGCAGCCCAAGGTGATAGTAGCAGCATTCCTTGTAGAATGACACAATACAATGAAATTTAGATATAATTAATTAATTAGGGAGCAAATTGTATTAAGTAGGTAGCTCTTTGCTTTAATGGCAGCTTATGAAGAAACTACCACCATGAAGGGGGTTATAATGTTATTTTAGCTTTTATTATCAACATCAACAATAGCAACTGATACTTTTGTACAAACTCATATTACAAGTACTATGTTCAGTCCTTGGTTTAAATTGACTTCTGTAAGTTTCACAACTGGCCCATGAGGTGGGTGCTGTTATGAATAATATTCTCAGATGGGAGTTGAATAATTTGCCCAAGGTCTTCCAGCAAGTAAGGGCTGGGGAGCAGGGTTCAGACCCAGGCAGGCAGGTTCGAGGGCCCCGGTTCTTTACTGCTGGATGTGTTAACACACCTGTTTATTAGACCATTGACAGCAATCTGTAAAATATGCAAGAAGCCTGGTGCTAATGAAAGTAATGGCAGGCTGCTGGGCATGGTGGCTCACGCCTGTAATCCCAGCACTTTGGGAGGCTGAGGTGGACAGATGGCTTGAGGTCAAGAGTTTGAGACCAGCCTGGCCAACGTGGTGAAACCCTGTCTCTACTAAAAATACAAAATTAGCCGGGCATGCTGATATACGCCTGCCATCCAAACTATTCAGGAGGCTGAGGCAGGATAATCGCTTGAACCTAGGAGGCAGAGGTTGCAGTGAGCCAAGATCACACCACTCCAGCTTGGGCCGCAGAGTGAGATTCCATCTCAAAAAAAAAAAAAAAAAAAAGTAATGACAGGTGATATGGTTTGGCTGTGTCCCCACCCAGATCTCATCTTGAATTGTAACTCCCACAATTCCCATATGTCGTGGGAGGAACCCAGTGGGAGGTGATTTAATCATGGGGGTGAGTCTTTCCTGCGCTGTTCTCGTGATAGTGAATGAGTCTCATGAGATCTGATGGTTTTGAAAAGGGAAATTTCCCGCACAAGCTCTCTCTTCCCTTGTCTGCTGCCATGTGAGATGTGCTTTTCATCTTCTGCCATGGTTGTGAGGCCTCTCCAGCCACATGGAACTGTGAGACCAATAAACCTCTTTTTGTAAATTGCCCAGTCTCGGATGTGTCTTTATCAGCAACGTGAAAACAAACTATTACAACAGGCAGTGGAGAATCAAAGCTTAATGTACCCGCTTTTCTCTCTATGCACTTATGGCTCTAATACACCTTTTGTATCAATACTTTTGGATTTCCTGAAAGAGCAAGTTATGTGGGGAAACTAGCCTGGTACAGAATCCATTCTGGCAAAAGGGGCAGCCAGCAGCGGTCAAGGATTTGGGTCTGTGCCTGGTGGTGGCAGTGTGAACTCATTAGCAGCAGGGACAGGGTCTGTGCTGGTCAGTGTCCGTGTGGTTGGGACATGATCACCCACAGCAGAGCCTCCACATTTGGCTTTGGTTGTCCAAGCATCCTATACATCATCTTGCATTATTCAGGACATTCTTTTTATGCCTGAACTGGGCAGCATGGAGTCTTTTGTTTGCAACCATAAAACTCGGTCATACACACACCCTAAAAATGTGTCTCAGCTGGGTGTGGTGGCTGACACCTGTAATCCCAGCACTTTGGGAGGGCAAGGCAGGTGGATCACTTGAGGTCAGGAGTTCGAGACCAGCATGGCCAACATGGTGAAACCCCATCTCTACTAAACATACAAAAATTAGTCGGACGTGGTGGCGGGCACCTGTACTCCCAGCTACTCGGGAGGTTGAAGCAGGAGAACCACATGAACCCGATAGGCAGAGGTTGCAGTGAGCCGAGATCACGTCACTGCACTCCAGCCTTGGCAACAGAGTGAGACTCCATCTAAAAAAAAAAAAAAAAAAAAAAGTGTCTCAATACTTCAAAACCAACTTGGGTAATGTTAATGGACTTTCTTTCTCAAATGTGTGGCCACCCCCATCTTTTCTCCTGGCAAAAGGAACTAGGAAGATCGCTGTGGTTCAAGATCAATATTATGCACATCATTGCTGAAATATGCACATCATTGCTGATTGGCTTATGCATGAGGAGCCTGGAGGAACTGTCGAGAAATAGCAGGTCCAAGCTGCTAGGACTTTTGTGTTCTTGGGTCTAATGTGTTTATTTCAGTTCCTCCTTGCCTTCAAACTGCCGGCCTCTCTCAAATCCCTTCTTATTTTCTGCTTTCCAGTAAACTTCAAAATAGAACTGAATTGCAAGTTGGAGCTTGACCTGTTACTCTTTCTAGCGTCGAAGGAGGAGGTTCTGGTACACTTTGGCAGCTTCCTGCTCCTTCTGTTCACTTTTAGAAGGTGGTGGCTCTGAAAAAGGTCTTTGTAATTTGCATCTTTTTTCCCCTGACTAAGGCCTTCTTCGGTTTTGACACGTGTCATTATGGGCACATTGTTTGGACCAGTTTCTAGAGCCTCATTTGGGTTCTCAACGCTGTCTAAATCTGGCCTTTGCGCTCAGAACAGACCTGGGAATGTCACACAAAGTCCTTCTGATGCCACCCCCACCAATATCTAACACTCGTTACTCTTTTTTTTTGTTTTGTTTTGTTTTTTGAGATGGAGTTTCACTCTTGTTGCCCGGGCTGGAGTGTAATGGTGCGATCTCTTGGGTCACCGCAACCTCAGCCTTCTGGGTTCAAGCGATTCTCCTGCCTCAGCCTCCTGAGTAGTTGGGATTATAGGCCTGTGCCAGCACGCCCAGCTAATTTTTGTATTTTTATTACAGATGGGGTTTCTCCATGTTGGTCAGGCTGGTCTCAAACTCCTGACTTCAGGTGATCCGCCGGCCCTGGCCTCCAAAAGTGCTGGGATTATCGGCCTAAGCCACCATCCCCGGCCTATTCTTTTAGCACCTAGAAGCACATCAACCAAGGATATTGTGGTGCTAGGCAACGAGGCTTGAATACACTGGAGGAATTTTTCCAGTTTGAAGCTGGAACTAGTTAGGAAATTTAGGAGTGAGCAATTGTTAAGTATCCAAGCACAAAACTCAGGAGTGAGTCTGAGCCATGAGAAAGCTGATACTGACTTTAGAAGATCAATATTGTGATATTCCCAGGGCTTTGCCTCTTAGATTTCATGAGAATTTATAATATGTTCACACTCAATGATTGCTTACCAAGCGTATGTCACTGCACTTACTTAGCATGCACTTTGAAAAGCAAAACATCATTTATTCCTTAAAAAGAACTCGGTGTTGTACCCATTTTCCAGGGCAGGTGATTGAGGCTCTGAGAGGCTATCATCGTATATTTTGTATTACTATAAAGGAATATCTGATGCTGGGTAGTTTATAAAGAAAGAAAGTTTATTTGGTTTGTGATTCTGATGGCTGGTAAGTTCAAGATTAGGCATCTGCATCTGGCGAGGGCCTCCGACAGCTTCACTCACAGTGGAAGGTGAAGGGGAGTTGGCATGTGCAGATATTACAGGTAAGCAAGAAAGCAAGAGAGAGGGAGGGGAAGGCCAGACTGTTTGTAAACATCCAGCTCTTGCAGAACTAATAGAAGGAGGGTATTGATCTATTCATGAGGGATCCACCCTCAAAACCCAAACACCTCCCATTAGACCCCACCTCCAACACTGGGGATCAAATTTCAACATGCGGTTTGGAGGGGACACACATCTAAGCCATAGCAGAGGCCAAGTTACTTGCTCAGGGGCACATAGCCAGAAGGTAGAAGGCCCTGGGTTAGAATGCAGACCTGCCTGAATCCCAAGGCCATACTCTTCCTTGAACACCATGCAGTGGTTATTTTAGTAGGGGTCACACAGATGGGTGGGGAGCAGGCAGAGAAATAAACAAAGAGACTGAGTGCTGCTGTCTCATGCCTATAATCCCAGCACATGGGAGGCTGAGCAGGAGGATCAGTTGAGCCCAGGAACGCATGTCCATACTGGGCAACATAGCAAGACCCCATCTCTATAAAATATATAGAGGATTTATAATGTGTCCACATTTAGTGATTGCTAACCAAGCGTATGTCACTGGGCTTAGCAGGCACTTTGAAAAGCAAAATATCTCTTATTCCTTAAAAATAACGCTGTGTTATACCCCTTATATATATACACATATATATAAATTTTTAAAATAAGAATAAATAGGCTGGACGCAGTGGCTCCTGCCTGTAATCCTAGCACTTTGGGAGGCCGAGGCAGGCAGATCACCTGAGGCCAGGAGTTCAAGACTGCTGGCCAACATGGCGAAACCCCATCTCTCCTAAAAATATAAAAACTAGCTGGGGTGGTGGCAGGGGTCTATAATCCCAGCTACTTGGGAGGCTGAGGCAGGAGAATCGCTTGAACTCCGGAGGCAGAGGTTGCAGTGAGCCGAGATTGCGTCACTGCATTCCAGCCTGGGTGACAGAGCAAGACTCTGTCTCAAAAAAATTAAATTAAAAAATAAAAATAAAGAAGCAGCAAAAGGTTTCAAATTAAAAGGGTGACTTTCGAAAGACCATATGACCCTGTGGGAAGAGACATACTATGTTCTTATGTTTTATTTTTCTGTTGCATACCACACCCAACCCAGGGCCTCATATATTCCAAGCACATAGAATAATTTGTTGAAGGAACATTGAGTGAACAAGGAAAAGAAATGGCCATTTCTTCTTTTGTTTTTTCTTTTGAATTAACCCTTTAGCTGTTCAGCATCTTCCTCCTTGTTTAAATGGGCGTTGTGGTCCCTTTTGACCCCCAGCTTCTGAGGCCTGCTGGGGAAGGTTGGCGTGAACACAGCTTCTCTTCCCCAGGGCCTCCTGGTCTCCACTTGTCTTCCCATCTGCTTTCCAGATGATCAAATGACTCATCAGCTCCCTGCAGCCTTCCCAAACCTGCTTTTTGTCTTCTCCGCTCTCTTTCCCAATTTCTTAGGCAGGACTCCTCTGGCTGTGAGTGACGGAAACCAACTTAGTCTAGTTTAGGCCCCATGGGGGAGCTTACTGGATCCCAGATGGTGATTCACAGGAACCCTGGGAGAGACCTCACTGGAGCACAGAGAGGGGAAGCAGTGTGCTCTAAGTCACACAGCTGTTCATTATGGGGAGGGTTGGGAGAGCTTGAGAATTTTGAGAACAAGCTACATGCAGGTGGTGACTATTTATTTGACTAATGTACTCCCAGTGCCTAAAACAATAACACTCATCATATAGTAGGTGCTCAGTAATATTTGTTGAATGAGCATGTGAATGCATGAATAGTGGAGTCTCTTATTTTTATAAAATAGAGTCTCACTCTGTTGCCCAGGCTAGGCTGCAGTGGTGCAATCTCAGCCCATTGCAGCCTCCACCTCCCAGGTTCAAGCGATTCTCCTGCCTCAGCCTTCCAAATAGCTGGGATTACAGGCATGCACCACCACGCCTGGCTAATTTTTGTATTTTTAGTAGAAGTGGGGTTTCTCCATGTTGGCCAGGCTGGTCTCAAACTCCCGACCTCAAGTGATCCACCCACCTCAGCCTCCCAAAGTGCTGGGATTTCAGGCGTGAGTCACCAGTCTCAGCTGAATAGTGAAATCTTAAAGTTTTCATCCCCCCTCTGTATGGATAGGAAGTAACTGAGGGCAGGGAGGGGAAATGGAGGAATTCTTTACATCACTGTGCCCTTCTTTTCACTCTCATCATGCATCAGGGGCCCCAGGGCCTGGCTTCTGCTAGCTTCAACCCTGGGTTCTCGTCCTACCTTGAGGTTGTCTCAGCCTCTGCAGGTGACAGAGAGCCTGCCTGCCCCAGCCTCAGCCTGGACATCTCCCAGCTCACGAGGGCACCACAGTGAATGGGCGTCATTCAGTTCTTGCATCAGACTGGCTCGGCTGACCACAGCAAGCTACGGCCCCCGAGGAAGATGCCAGGAGCTGGGTTTGCTGCCAAGGGCTCCCTGCTGCTGTCCCTGTGATTTCAACTCCCCAGGGCTCCCAGTGGGTGAGAACAAGGGCTGGCTGTGGCAGAGTTCTCGTCTTTGGGTGGGGTGTGTGGCGAATGGAAAGTCAGCCGCTCCGGCCTCGTGGCTTGGCTGCTGCGAGCACGGATGCTTTATAAAGTGACTTTTCAAGGCCTTCTCCCTCCACTGGGCCTTGGCAGCCACGCTGTTTCTCCAGAACTGAGCCGGCCTTGTGTCTGTTGGGAAGAAAGACATGAAAATGAGGGCTGGAGCGGACGCAGGGCCCCGATTCCAGGAGAAACAGGGCATCATGTTGTGCTGCTGCCTGGGGCAGAGCTGACAAGCGCCACATTCATTCCTCAGCAGGAGTTGGCTCCCTTTGTGGTATCAAATGCCCCCTCTGCACAGCCGCGACATTGATCAGCAACATCAGCTGTGTAGAGAGGTGGCGCGGGGTGGCGAGGCCGTTTGATTAACCAGGGGCCCTCTAAATGCTGTTTTTCTAATCTGAGTCATCCCTCCAGAAAGTTATGTGCTTGTGTGTGGCAATATTACAAGTGTATGTTGTATTCTGTGTGGAGGGCACCTCTCAGAGGTGTGCAAAGAGGCAGCCCTTATTTGGAGAAGAGGGGCAGATGCGCGTGGTTGCAGCTCTCTGCACACGTTTATGCCTGTATTTCTATCCCTATGCTATGTTTGCATGCCTTTTGTGAATGTACACAACTCTGAATGTTTTTCTTTTTAAATTTTTATTTTTTAGAGACAGGGTCTCAATATATGCCCAAACTGGTCTTGAACTGCTGACCTCAAGTCGTCCTCCCGCCTCAGCCTCCCGAGTTGTTGGAATTACAGGCAACTGCCCCTGTGCCTGGCCAACTCTGACTGTTACTTGTGCATCTGTTGTTGCATGCATGAGTGGGTGCGTGTCTTCCTAAGACAGAGAGGCTTCCTGGATTCGAAACATGGCTTTGCTTCCTATGCACCATGTGATGAATTCCCATCAGCCTTGGTTTTCTCACCTGTATAATGGGGATGATCATGGTTCTCACCTCACAGGAGAGTCTTGGAGGTTAAATGGGGCAACATCTGGCTCCAGGTCAGTTGTTGACGTGTGTCAGTTACTGTGGCTGTTACGGTTTTGACTTTGCAGGCTTGCTAGTATGTCTGTGTGACCTGCTCCACGCCCTCATCCTCAGCTGTAGCAGGAATTGTGTTGGTGTTTTCTCTTGCTTTCTGAACAAAGGATCCAGTGCTCTGAGTTCTGAGGAGGAAAAGGGACAGGATCTGAGACTCTTTTGGTTTCATCAGGGGCTGCTCAGCTCGCTGTGTCCCACCTGGATGGGGGAGGAGTATCCGACCCTTCCTGGGCCCTGAGTCCCTCCTGGGTCACTCAGGCTTGTCACACCTCCTCCCTGAGCCCCCCCCCCAACCACACATAGACACACACACATACAGTTATGCACATTGAATCTGTCTGACGTTGCTGCGGTTTCCCAGGAGGGGTTTAAATAATTCTCTGTGGCTGTGGTCTGAACTGCACAGAGAGAATCTCGTTGTCTCTAACCTGCTAGTGGATGGCTCCCACCTGGCCTGACCTCTGGCTCCAAAGGGCAAGTCCAGCGTTTCAAGCTGCTCTTCTAGCCCTTATGAACCTGAGGTCTTGGAGGACGGCTCTCAATGGAGAATTGTGTCTGGAGAAGAGAC
Source organism: Homo sapiens (assembly GCF_000001405.40). Lineage (NCBI taxonomy): Eukaryota > Metazoa > Chordata > Mammalia > Primates > Hominidae > Homo > Homo sapiens. Next base: position 405,084 of record NW_019805500.1, on the reverse strand, counting down.
AAGGGTGAGGTATTCCCAGATGGGCTTTGAGGAAAGGGCCTTTTGCCTCTCCTGCTGTGAACAGCTTTCATGGCTCTTCTTCTGCAGTAGAGTAGTGATACAGTTTGGCTATGTTCACACCCAAGTCTCTTCTTGAATTGTAGCTGCCATGATTCCCCCACGTGTTGTGGGAGGGACCCGGTGGGAGGTTATTGAATCATGGGGGCAGGTCTTTCTGGTGCTGTTTTTGTGATAGTGAGTGACTCTCATGAGATCTGATAGTTTTATAAAGGGGAGTTTCCCTACACAAGCTCTCTCATTCTCTCTTGTTTGTTGCCATGTAAGACGTGACTTTCACCTTCTGCCGTGATTGTGAGGCCTCGCCAGCCACCTGGAACTGTGAGTCCATTAAACCTTTTTTTCTTGATAAATTACCCAGTCTCTGGTATGTCTTTATCAGCAGCGTGAAAACAGACTAATCCAGGTGTTAAAATCGCCGGCCCTGGCAGAAGATTTGTAGGTTCAAAGCCAGGTTTTGCCGCTTACTGGTTGTATGACTTGGGCAAGACGCCTGCCCTTTGTGAGTGTGTCTCCTCATCTGTCAAATGGCTATAGCTGCATCCAAGGCTGGATATGAGGATTAAAGGGAGGTATTCCCATAAAATCCATAGAGTGATCCCTGGCCTGCAGGAAGCATTGGTAAGTGTTAGCTGTGGCTGGCTTATTACCATCAGTTACTTGTTTGTCTCTGTGTATCGTCTTCATATTTGAGGTCCTCACTCTGGAAGCTGGGATGATGGTCATTCCGCACAGGCCTTTGATGTCATAAGCACCTGGTGAATATTTTGTGATTCATTTATCTATTAATTCATCAGAAAATAGGGTATATCCATCCTGGGCAACAGAGTGAGACCCTGTCTCTACAAAAAATTTTTAAAATAGCCAAGTGTGGTGGAAGTTGCCTGTAGTTCCAGCTTTCCAGGAAGCTGAAGCAGGATTGCTTGAGCCCAGGAGGTTGAGGTTTCAGTGAGCTGTGATCATGCCACTGCACTCCAGCCTGGGTGATAGAGTAAGACCCTATCTCTTAAAAAAAAAAAAAAAGAAAAGAAAAAAAAGGATATAGTAAAACAAACACCCATGTATGTAGAATAAGACAAGCTCAATATCAAGAGAGCTTAATGATGGGCATTTTCACCTTCCATTTAGGTGTTTGCCATGGAGACAAGAGAGAGAGCTTCTTTTTGTCCATGTCTTAAAGGAGGAACTGTATGCTCCAACAGCCCCCAAATAAACCCCTCATAGGTTTGAATCCTATTTTTTCCACAAGCAGTTTATTTTGTATTTTCTCATGTTGTAAACTATCTTTTAAAAAACATTATCCATAACCCACCATTCCAACCCAACTGCAATTTTCACATCTTCAGTTTCTTTCTGTATTTATACCCATTGTTTTAAACTGTGTACACTTCGTCTTTTTCATATTCACTTAATAGTGCTTTGTAAACCCTTTTTTTTTTGTTTTTGTTTTTGAGACAAGGTCTCCGTTGCCCAGGCTGGAGTACAGTGGGGCAATGACGGCTCACTGCAGCCTTGACCTCACCGGCTCAAGGGACCCTTGTGCCTCAGTCTCCTGGTTGGCTGGGACTACAGGTGTGCACCACCATGCCTGGCTAACTTTTTGTGTGTGTGTGTGTGTGTTTTTTTTTTTTGTAGAAACAGGGCTTTGCTATGTTGTCCAGGCTGGTCTCCAACTCCTGGGCTCAAGCTATTCACCTGCCTCAGCCTCCCGAAGTGTTGGGATTACAGGCGTGAGCCACCACGCTCAGCCTAGAAACACTTTTAAAGCTTTTCTGTCATCTCTCTGCTGATCCTGCTAATTAGCGCATAATTCACCACTGCGTTGATGCACCTTATTTAATGTCACCATTGCTCAATTGTTGAACATTTAGATTTTTGTTGATATTCTAAATAAATAATGTTGTAAATATCTTTGGGCCTATGGCTTTTATTTTATTTTCTAATTATTTCTGTAATAATTTTTTAAGCAGGAGCTGACTGGCCAAGAAACATTCCATAAATGTTTAGTGCTCCTAAATGTTGTGGAAGTTGATATAATAATAATAATAATAATAATAATAACCATAGCCACTAACCCTTCATTGAACAACTAGGCCAGGCATTATCTGAGTGCTTAGCATACATTTTAAAATTTACCCCTCCCAGCTCCTTGAGGTGGGGATGATGTTATTCCCATTTTACAGATATAGGAACAGAGACAAAGAGAGGTTAAATTACCTGCCCGGGAACATAGAAAAGGATGTTGAAGAAGCCATCCCTTTCCTCAAAAAACTCAGTTGCAGAACACTACACATAGTTACATCGGTAAGCTCAAAGTTGCCCTGGCCAGTTCTTGTGCCATTTCCACAACTTCAGCTTGCAAATGCTAAATATGTGCCCATAAGTATATCTCTCTGTATAAATTTAGGCAGAGATTGAACTTGCAGGAAGTCCGTCTGGCTTTTCTGGAAGACTCTCCCACCCCGGGTGGCTCCATTCCCAGCAACCTCAAGGCAGAATGGTGGAAGTTTTGGAAATTGATCTGAAGTCCGTTTCCCTTGCTTCCTCGTCCCTTTTCCTTTGTAACATCCTCCAGCCCAAGGGCCCAGTGTCCCTATGTGCTATCATCTCCCTTGCAAGCTTTCCAGCCATGATCTCTGAAAAAACTCATCCACACTGAGCTGGGGCTGATTGGAATTCATTCCAGGGAGAGTTGCATTTTGTCAAACACTAATGTTAAAGAATTGACTCTGAAGAATAGATTGTAGACAGGTGTGTGTGTGTGTGTGTGTGTGTGTGTGTATGAAAGAGAGAGTGAGACAGAGAGACAGAGGAGAGAGAGCTGGATTATGTCATCCCCCTGGCTGTTACTTCTGTTTTTCTTCCCCTTTTTTCCTCTTCCCAGTATAGGGTTACTACTTTCCCAATATAGGGTTGATTCCCGTTTGTCCTTCAAACTTCAGATCAGGTGTCCCCTCCTCCGGCTGGCCTTCCTCGCTCTAACTCCACACCTTGTTTCTTTCACTCGTGGCTTTCATTACAAGCTGACTTTGAAGGTTGATGGGTTGATTCATTGCCTGTGTCTCCTCCTAAACTGCAAGTTAGTTAGTTCCTTCCTTCCTTCCTTCCTTCCTTCCTTCCTTCCTTCCTTCCTTCCTCCCTTCCTCCCTCCCTCCCTCCCTCTCTTTCTTTTTTTTTGAGATGGAGTCTCTTTCTGTCACCCAGGCTGGAGTGTGATGGCATGATCTCAGCTCACTGTAACCTCCGCCTCCCAGGTTCAAGTGATTCTCATGCCTCAGCCTCCTAAGTAGCTGGGATTACAGGCGCGTGCCACCACTCCCAGCTAATTTTTGTATTTTTAGTAGAGACAGGGTTTTACCATGTTGGCTAGCTGGTCTCAAACTCCTGACCTCAAATAATCTGCCCACCTTGGCCTCCCAAAGTGCTGGGATTACAGGTGTGAGCCATGGCGCCCAGCCCCTAAACTGCAAGTTCTTTGGGGACAGTAGGTACTATAATTTGTGTTAGTCACTGAGGTACCTAGAATCTAGCATAGTGCCAGGCACAGGGTCAGCTGCACCCACTGTTTGTTGATTGAATGCTTGATGTGTCTCCCAGCATTCCTTTCACTGTCAGCCCCTGTCCTTCCTGTCTACCTGGCCGAAGACTGAGAAAGCTGCTGTTGCCAGGAGAGAGTTTGAAGCTGTGATTTCCTTGTTGCCAAATAAATGAGAAGCCTGGTGAGGGCCAGTTAGCCTGATGGCTGCTGTTGGAGAAGAAGTCCGCTGGCTGGATCCTTAGCGATTGTGTTGAAAACACAGCCACTCTATTTTGTTTTCCTTTCCCAAAGAAATATTTGCTTTATCTCTGGCAGTGTGTACTTTATTATAACAGAGCTGGAGGATGTTGACCTGAGAAGTAAAAAAACATGGTTTCCAAAGAGACTCTGTCAATGGCTTAAAATTAATAAACGTGCAGCTGTGGGTGGTGGTGGGGGCTGGAGTTGGGGGCGAGGGCCGGAGGACAGGGGTGCAGAAGTGATTAAACTGCTCCTGTTTTGCCATGGGGATGACACCGCTTTTCTTTTAGTGGCAGGTTAAGGGGATGAAAATCTGAATTGGCGTATCTTTAAACAAGTTATTACTTCAGCTGTGAGATAATTTGTTGAGAAAATGCCATTATTTTTCCAATATAGGTCCTTCGGACTGTGCAACCGGGGCATGATGCTGGCAGCTGCGGTTGCATGTAGATGCTAAAGCATCATGGAGCGGGAGAATGAACTTCAGGTTAAAGCCTGTTTATTCTTAAATAAATTGAGTTTTCTGTTTTCCACAGTGTAATGAGGAGGGAGCAGGGCTTCCCTCCTGCTCTCAGTGCTGGAGGCCTGGAGTTGTCCACACCCCTTCCCTTGATGCTTAGGATCCTTCCAACAGCACCAGAACCTCTGGGGACTCTCATTCTGCCCAGAAAGGCCAGGGAGAACCCAGGTCTTTACCCTTTGTGGGGAGGAGCCTCGAGGATGGCCTTGAGCATCTCAGCCTCCGTTGCCATGCTTCCCAGTGACTTTGAGGATGTCATCTGTTATGGGTTGAATTATGTCCCCTCTCCTGCCCCCAGATTCATATGTTGAAGTCCCGATTTCCAGTACATTGGAAGTTGACCTTGTTTGGAAAGACGGTCATTGCAGATGTAATTTGCAAAGATGCAGTCATACTAGAAGCGGGGGGGTCCCTAAGCTAATATGACTGGTGTCCTTATAAAAAGGGGGCATTTTAATTAGCCAGGTGTGGCGGCATGCACCTGTAATCCCAGCTACTCAGGAGGCTGAGGCAGGAGAATCACCTGAACCTGGGAGGTAGAGGTTGCAATGAGCCGAGATCGAGCCACTGCACTCCAGCCTGGGTGACAGAGCAAGACTCTGCCAAAAACAAAACAAAACAAAACAAAACAAAAAAACAGTGGGGGGGGGCGGGGACATTTGGACATAGCCATGCACACAGGGAGGACACTTTGTGAAGGCGAAGGCAGAGAGGGGCATGATGTATCTACAAGCGAAGGAACATTCAAGATTCCCAGCAGACCACCAGAAGCCAGGAGAGGGGCATGGAACATTCTTTCTCACAGGCTTCAAAAGGAACCAACCCTACCAACACCTTGATCTTAGATTTCTAGGCTCCAGAAATGGGAGGCAATACATTTTGATTGTTTAAGCCATTTAGTGGTGCTTTGTTATGGCAGCTGGCAAGAAACGAATACATCATCCAAGGGCCATGGTTCACCCATCATCTACTCCCCGAAAAAAATCACTCATACTCACTTAAATCCACGTCTCCACCTGTGCCCTGAGTAAGTCCTTAAATCTGCCATGTAGGCCACCGAAGTTTCAGCTGTCTCTGCCCTTTAGTCTTGCAGAAACACAGTCGGTCTTACGTTGTTACTTTACAGGTAACACCCTCCCTGTGACATTCTAAGCCCCAGATGGGGAGCTGGGCCTCTTTCTTTGTCTTGATTCCAGCAGGCACTTAAGCAGTGCTTGTTGGATTCAGTAGATTTGCCCACTCTGACTCCTGAGATAGACTAGATGCACTTCTAGTCCTTATCTTTCTGGAGTTTTAGCCTCTTGCCTTGTCAGTCCTTTGGTGACCATATGCCACTCAATATTTACGTGGCCTCCGTGGATCCAAGGTCTGCATTTTCCAATCTGGACTCGTATATGTGAAAGAGCTGTTCACGAGATCAGCAGTTTGAGCCAGCCTGACCAACACGGTGAAACCCCGTCTCTACTAATAATACAAAAATTAGCCGGGAATGGTGGTGCATGCCTGTAATCCCAGCTACTCAGGAGGCTGAGGCAGGAGAATCGCTTGAACCCGGGAGGCAGAGGTTGCAGTGAGCCGAGATCGCACCACTGCACTCCAGCCTGGGCAATACACTGTCTCAAAAAAAAAAAAAAAAAAAAAGAGCTATTCAAACTATGGAGTGCCCTAGTAAAATCGTAGCAATGACTCATTCCGCTGTTTGTATGTCTGAAGAGGGACAGTGAGCTAGACTCAAAGGCTCAGGTTCCGGTCCAGCTTTATCATTCACCAGATGGCTATCCCTAGGAAAGTCACTTGACCTCTCTGAACTTTAGTTTTCTCAGCTTGCCTTGTCTGCCTGGGTTGGCAGGGAACCAAGAATATGTGTGAGAGGCCTTTGATAGCATCAGAGCAGAGGCTGTAGACATAGAGTAAAGGGGGGAATGAAAAGGTTCTCATGGTGATCTGGAGAACAGGTACCCCAGCAAAAGGGGTCTCCATGGGAAGGGTGGGCCCAGGGTTGCCAGATCGTCAGAGTTTTTAATAGAAGCCGGAAAGGCGGTTTATTATGATGTATCCCAGCCATCCAATGTTGTCTCGGGTGTTTTTTAAGCACCACAGGTTCATATCAAATTAGATTGCAGACTGTTTCTGGGCCCATGAGCCACCGTTCTGTGATGCCTGCTGTAGGATTTGATTCAGATAGAGGTCGATGGCAATGCTTATTTCCTTTCTGTTACCCGAACCTGCCGATCCAAGCATCCTCCTCAATAACTCTGAAATGCAAGAGTCAATATTAACCAAGGAAAATTTACGTTGTCACCCTCCAGGAAGCCTTCCCTGATCACATCCCTCCTGAATTGAATTGGATCAGAGGTTGGCCAGCCTTTTCTTAAAGGAGCAGATAAGAGGTATTTTAGATGTTGAGGGCCCTTCAGTCTCCTTGGCAACTACTGAACTGTGCCTCTGCAGCCGGAAAGCAGCCAGAGATAACATGTAAACAAATGAACGTGGCTGTGTGCCAATAAAATTTTATTTGCGAAAATAGGCCACGAGCTGAATCTGGCTATGGTATGGGATGGTAATCATTTCCTGATACTCTAGTTAGATACTTTTTTTTCTGAGGTGGAGTCCCACTCTGCCCAGGCCAGAGTACAGTGGCCTGATCTTGGCTCACTGCAACCTGCACCTCCTGGGTTCAAGCCATTCTCCTGCCTCAGATTCCCGAGTAGCTGGGATTACAGGTACCTGCCACCACGCCCGGCTAATTTTTTGTATTTGTAGTAGAGATAGGGTTTCACTGTTTGGCCAGGCTGGTCTCAAACTCCTGACCTCAAGTGATCTGCCTGCCTCGGCCTCCCAAAGTGTTGGGATTATAGGCGTGAGCCACCGCGCCCAGCCTAGATAGCTTTTTTATGTACTACCCTAACACCCTGAATTTAGCCCCTTATCAGCAGTCTACTACCACAACTAAGAATAAACACATTTATTGAGCACTTACTGTGTGCCAGGAGCTGTTCCAACCCCTTCATTTATCTTTACTCATTTCTCACAGTGAGTTTGTGTGGAAGGTCCTGCTGCTATCCCCATTTCACAGATGAGAAGACTGAATCACAGAAAGGTTAAGCAACATGCCCAAGGTCACCCAGCTGAGCTTTCAGACTCAGAAGCAAATAACGCTTTGCTTCTATGGCTCACCCAGCAGGTATTTCACGTCATCTCTGTATTTCCTTGATGCCCAGCACAGGGACTGGCTGTAAGGTTGTGCCCAGGAGTCACTGCATGAGTGACAGGCATTATTTCCGGTTTTGCAAACCTGTACAGGAGGGGTGTAGATACAAACGTTGCATTGTAACCCTTTCTAAATAGACTCAGAGAGTCTGCCTGGGACAAACTTTCCCAAGCCAGACGCCTTTGTTTTTCATGCGTCGAGAATTTGGCAGCTCTGGCTTGGACTTGCACAGGGCTACTTTTAAACATCTGGTTCTCTTAGCAGCCCTAAAATCCAACAGCACCCATAACAACTTTCATCTCTCTGCCGTGGCGCCTTGTGAAACATCACAGCCCCCCTTGGCTGATTGTAGGAATGGTGAACAGAGTCTGCTGTTCACCAACCAACAGATGAGAGTGACAGAGAGGACACTACATCTGAGTCCTTCCCCGAAGGGTCCCTGAAGAATTCCATGTCAATATGGTAAATTGATTCCGATTTGAAAAGCCCTTCACAGATTTCACTGTATTTAAAGGAGTCCCCGATGAGAATCCTTTATATTGTGAATGATCTCCTGGTAATTGATCTGCTTTAGAAGTTTGGCTTCAGTTTAACAGGGGCACCTGTGTTGTTCTGTACTTCTGTGAGCAGAGCTCAAAGTATTATAATGAGCAAGAATAATTATTATGATTATTTATAGGGAGTCATTGTGATGTGCCAGGCACTTGTGACATATGCTTTGTTTTATGTGATTATTTTTATTTTTTTAGAGATAAGGTTTCGCTGTGCTGCCCAGGCTGGAGTGCAGTGGTGCGATCATGGCTCACTGCAGCCTTGAATTCTTAGGCTCAAGTAATCTTTCTGCCTCAGCCTCCCAAGTAGCTGGGACTACAGGAATGCACCACCCTTCCATTTTTTAATATTTAAGAGATTGGTGTGGGTGGGGGTTGATATGATTTGGCTCTGTGTCCCCATCCAGCTCTCATCTCGAATTGTAATCTCCATGTGCCAAAGGAGGGACTTGGTGGGAGGTGATTGGATGAGGGGGGAGGTTTTCCCCATGCTGTTCTCATGATAGTGAGTGAGTTCTCATGAGATCTGATGCTTTAAAAGTGTTTGGCAGTTCCCCCTTCACTCTCATTCTCTCCTGCTGCCGTATAAGATGTGCCTTGCCCCTCTTCCTCTTCTGCCACGATTGTAAGTTTCCTGAGGCCTCCCCAGCCCATGTGGAACTGTGAGTGAGTTAAACCTCTTTTCTTTATAAATTACCCAGCCTCAGGTAGTTCTTGATAGCAGTGTGAAAATGGACTAATACAGGGGGGATGGGCAGGGATCTCACTCTCTTGCTCAGGCTGGTGTTGAACTCCTGTCCTCAAGCGATCTTCCTGCCTTGGCCTCCCAAAGTGTTGAGATTACAGGCATGAGCTACCATGCCCAGCCCAACAAATGCTTTATATACTCTGTTTCATTTGTCCTTTTCAACTCCTCTAAGGGGTAGGTGCTGACCTTTTGCCTATAGGTAAACTGAGTCATAGAGAAGTTAAATTGTGTGCCCAAGGTCACATAGCTGGTCAGTAGCACTGCTGGGATTCAAACCCAGGCGGTCTAGCTCCAGGGCCAGAGCTCTTCCCACCCTCCTCTGTTGTTTTCTCTAAGCGTGGTGGCTTTATTTATCTCCAGAAATGCTGTCCTCCTCCATGGTCTGACATGGAAGCTCAGGTGCTTCTTGCACAGTGGGTAAAGTTGTGCTGTATGTCAGTGAGGATGGACTGCTGCCTCCAGGGCACTCTGCCCAGATGCTCCCTATTGGAATCACTGGGCCATATCAGCTTCTCTGAGAGAGCAGAATGAAAAAGCTGGCAGGGTTGGACTTGGTGGATCGTGTGGAGACCACCGCTGCCTCCCATGGAGAAGATACCTCCATGAAGGCAGAGTAGAAATCTGTTCTCCGTGAACTGCAACGGTGATCGCTGCTGTGGTGGGTGACATGAGCCACCCCTGTACCGTCCAGTGAGGTGGCCAGCAGCCACATGGGGCTATATCAGGAGCCCTGGAAATGTGGCTAGAGCAGTGAGAAATTGAAGTTTTACTTTTATTTCATTTTCATTAATTTAAAACCTGATACCTGATTCAGTTATTAAATATATTTGGAACTACTTGGGTCTGAGAATTTACTTCATTTGACATTTAAAAAAAAATCAATTGGCCGGGCGTGGTGGCTCATGCCTGTAATGCCAGCACTTTGGGAGGCCGAGGTGGGTGGATCATGAGGTCAGGAGATCGAGACCATCCTGGCTAACACGGTGAAACTCCGTCTCTACTAAAAATAGAAAAAATTAGCCAGGTGCGGTGGCGGGCGCCTGTAGTCCGAGCTACTCGGGAGGCTGAGGCAGGAGAATGGTGTGAACCCAGGAGGCGGAGCTTGCAGTGAGCCAAGATGGCGCCACTGCACTCTAGCCTGGGCGACAGAGCAAGGCTCCATCTCAAAAAATAATAATAATAATAATAATAATTAATTAATTAATTCTTTTGAGATGGGGTCTCCCTATGTTTCCCAGGCTGGTCTTGAACTCCTGGGCTTAAACAGTCCTCCCACCTTAGCCTCCAAAAGCACTAGGGTTACAGATGTGAGCCACCACACCCAGACTCATATGACATTTTTCCGAACTCTAAAGATGTAGCATGTATTGCTGGTGAACATTTAGCATCTACATTGAGATATGACAGCATGATCTCATCAGTGGGAGTGGGAGCTAAATATGTGTACACACAGGCATTGAGTGTGGAATGAGATAGATACTAGAGACTGTGAAGAGTGGGAGGGTGGTTGGGGGGGATGATGAGAATTACTTCATGGGTATAATGTACACCGTTTGGATGATGGTATACACTAAAAGCCCACACTTCACCACTCCACAGTTTATCCATGTAACAGAATTGCTCCTGCACCCCTTACATTTATAGAAATAAAAAATAAACACATTGAGGTATGCCGTCATGTAAAATACACACCATCACCTTCAGATCCACCTGCTCACATCATGTGCTACAGTTGTGGTTTCTTCTGCAAACCAAAGTGTCTGCCACAGGCCTCAATCAGTTTAGAGGTTTCTTTTGCCAAGGTTGAGGACATCCCCAGGAAAAAGGGATGAAAGTCGCTGGAGGATCTGGCCTGTGCTTTTTCCAAAGAGGGCTTTGAGGACTCTGTATTTAAAGGGGAAAAAGTGGGCAGGAGGGGAAGGAGGAAGGAAAGAAAAGAGGGAAGGTAGGGAGTGAGGTGAGAGGTCACATTCTTATGAGGCTTTAATTAACTCTTACCGAACCCACATCTTGCATTTGAAAGGAGGGGGTAGGGGAACAGTCACTTATATATTTGTCTCAAGCTCAGTAAATCTGTATTTTACATGGGATAAAGTAAACATAAAGTGGAGGGAAACGTCAAATATACATTTGTCTTAGGGTGGGCAGTGGGGGATGATTTCTAGTCTTGTCTTTGTCCCATACCTCTGAAGATAAGCTGTTAATTTACATTGTCAAGGCGAGGGAGGCCACCTGGAGAGATATGTGGCCTTCTGTCTTGCAGCTGTCTGTTTAGGAACAAAGGGAAAGGCAGTGTTTTGCATGACTCAGTTTCCAAGCATAACTCTCCCATTTGGCATAGTGAATTTGGGGTCCTGAGAGAGAAGGGGTTTCCTTTCTCCTTCCGATGGTCGTTTATTCATTCAATAAATATTTTTTAGGAGTATCAGCTAGTGTGCACGATGAGGATGCAGCAGTGAATAACACACAGAGATCAAACAGACCAAAAAAAGTAGAACCTGTTAACATGGCAAATATTATACATGGGATTAAAATAGGAGGATGTGTTGAAGAGGGTGGTCCCAAGAGAGCCCTGAGGGAGGTGACATTTGGCCCTAGACCTCAACGACCAGGAAGCCATGTGAAAACTTGGATGAAAAACCTCCCAGGCAGAGGGAAATGGCCTTGAGGCGGCAGAGAGAATGGAATGTTCTAGAAACCTTTGGCCATCGGTGCTGGAGCACAGAGGAAGAAGGAAGCATGGTGTCAGATGAGCTTGAGGAACAGGCAGGGGTAAGATCCTATAGGGCTTTATGATCAAGGAGAGAAGTTTAGATTTTATTTCCAGGGAGATGGGGAAGTCATGTAGGATTTACAAATTGCTATGTTGTATGTTCTTTGGTTTATGATTTTATAAGGGTGCCTGTATTAGTCATTTCTCATGCTGCGAAATAAAGACATTGAGACTGGGTAATTTATAAATGAAAGAGGTTTAACTGACTCAACGTTCCACATGGCTGTGGAGGCCTTGCAGTCATGACGGAAGGCAAATGAGGAGCAAAGGCCCATCTTACGTAGAGGCAGGCAACAGAGAATAAGAGCCAAGTGAAAGGGGGAACCACCCCTTATAAAACCATCAGATCTCGTGAGACTTACTACCATGAGAACAGTATGGGGGGAAACTACCCCCATGACTCAGTTATTTCTCACTGGGTCCCTCCCACCACATGTGGGAATTATGGGAGCTACAATTCAAGATGAGTTTTGGGTGGGGACACAGCCAAGCCCTATCAATGCCTCTGATGGCTGCTGGAAGAAGAAAGGACCCTGGGAGTAAAGGGATGTTGGGATCCAAGATGACTGGGACTTGGGTTAGCATAGTGGTGGTCAAGGTCAGAAGTGGACAGTTTGTAATTGCCCAGTGGGTTTATTTTGCTCACTGTCCAGATAGGGCTGATTTTATCAAAACAGGGGAATTGCAATAGAGAGAGTTTAATTCATGCAGAACTGGCTGAATGGGAGACTGGAGTTTTATGATTCAAATCAGTCTCTCTGGAAATTTTGAGGCTAGTGTTTTTCAAGGATAGTTTGGCGGACAAAGTTATGGGTGCTGCTGGTTGGTTGGGGATGCAATCACAGGGGTGGGTGGAAAATGGTCCTCTTCTGGTGAGGACACAGTACTGGTTGGTGGGTCTGGGTCAAGCCATCATAGTCAGAAATGTAAAAATCTTCCCCTAGTTCATATCAAGTGTTAAATAAAAGAAATGCAAAAACCTGAAAAGACATCTCAAAAGGCCAATCTTAGGTTCTACAGGAGTGATGTTATCTGCAGGAGGAATCAGGGAAGTTGCAAATCTTGTGACCTCAGGAATAATGGCTGGGAATCCTTTACACTAGCAGAATTCAGGTTTTTTGTTTGTTTGTTTTTGTTTTTTTTCTTTTGAGAAGGAGTCTCGCTCTGTCGCCCATGCTGGAGTGCAATGGGGTGATCTTGTCTCACTGCAACCTCTATCTCCCAGGTTCAAGCGATTCTCCTGCCTCAGCCTCTGGAGTAGCTGGGATTACAGTCACGCACCACCATGCCTAGCTAATTTTTTGTATTTTTAGTAGAGACGGGAGTTTCGTCATGTTGCCCAGGCTGGTTTTGAACTCTTGAGCTCAGGCAATCCACCAATCTCAGGCTCCCAAAGTGTTGGGATTACAGGCGTGAGCCACTGCCCCTGGCCAAGGCTCCTTTTAATCCTTGTAACCTAATGGACCTACATTAGCTTTACAAAGGTGGTTTAGTTTTGGGGAAGGACTGTTATCTTTTAAAGTATAAACTAAATGTCTCTGAAAGTTAGCTTGACCCAAGCCCAGGAATGATCATGAGCGGTTTGGAGGTAAAGGCAAGATGGGGGTTGGTTAGATCAGACCTCTTTCACTGTCATAATTTTCTCACTGTTACCGTTTTTGCAAAGGCAGTTTCAAGTTCTGGACAGACTCTGTTGACTTACCAGTGAATTGGAGATGTGTTGGCCACAGGGGCCTGAAGGATAAAGAGGCATTGAAGGTGCCTCCTCCATGCTTGGCTTGTACACTAGGGTGGGTGGTTTTGCTTTCGACTTAGGCACCTTCTTACCACTCCCCACCCCGAAGTATTAATTTCATTCCTCCTGTGTCTGCCTCGTTCTTGCTGGCAGCTTATTCACGTACATACAGCCGCAACTTTATTGGATAGGCCTGTTTTGAGTGGGGAAAGAGGAATTTGTTCTCTTTTGGTTCGGCTCAGGGCCCTATATTCCTTGTACTCGCCTCCCCCTGTTGAGTTTGTTTCTGCTAATGGAAATGATGTTCGGATTAAGAACAGATCTCTTAAACCTAGAGTTGACTTCCCTGACGTTTTATTCCCCTCTCCTGCTGCTTTGTGAGGAGATGCTGAAGATGCTGAAGAGATGGGCAGGGGGTGAAGTGATTATTTAATTGTGTGCAAATGAGGAGTGGTAACTAAAGCAGGTACAGGGCACGACCTGAATCCTGCAGGAGCCACACCTGACACGATTCCCTTCCCTGACTTCAGGCTCTAAATGAATTTCTAGTTGACTAAAAATACCTCAAGACCTGGGTGGCAGCTTAAGCTGTCGGTAAATTTAAAACAGGTTTGCATGCCACTGATTATAGCAGAGGATAAAAAGTTAGTGGAGAATTTTGTTTAACTCCTGGTTCTCCATCCTGTCTTGAAGCCTACACCCTTTGATTCTTGGATGGATTGCAGTGGTGGGCTGTATATTTCACTTTATTTTTCTTTGAACTTCTCAATCGCCAGGGACTATGTTGGATGTGTTTTAGGCTGAAGACCTGTCTTGCTTAAGAGAAGATGATGTAAAAATGGCCTGGGGCTGATCAGACAGAAAGTCCAGTGTGAGTCAGAAGTGTTCTATGCCTGGCTGGCTAAACAGATCCACTCCGGGGCTGCATATTTATTTGCAAGACACCTCCAGAATGTCTGTACTCCTTTCTCAACCTTCTGCCTCTTACAATGATTGTTCTATACTATCCTGCAGATAAACCATAATTAAACAAAAATAGTAGCGAGGTGTGGTGGCGTGTACCTGTAGTCCTCGCTACTCAGGAGGCTGAGGTGGGAGGATCACTTGAGCCCGGGAGGTTGAGGCTGAAGTGAGCCAGGATCGTGCCGCTGCACTCCAGCCTGAGTGGCAGGGTGAAACCCTATCTCTAAGAAAAATAAAAATGATAAAAACTCAATTTGTTAAAGGCTTTCTATGCATTGGCACATTGAATCTACACAGCCACTTTCTTGGGGATCAACAATGCTGAATTTTACTTGAGCCCTGTGCTCCTGCAAAAGAACAAAGGTTAAAGGAATCCACTCACCTGTTTGTGTTGCAGAAAATGCCTCGCTGCAAAGAACCAGTGTTGCCCACGTGACTTAGCTACAACTCGTGGATACCCTTTTGTTTCCCCAGGACAGGGCTAGACCCAGACCCTGCATATTCCCATTTGTTACCTTATAAAGGATGAGCTGGCTGCTCATTCCCACTGATCAATCAGAACAACATGCTTGATCACCAGACTTTGGATCAGACTCTCTTCTTCCTCCAGGTGCTTTTGCCTTGACCCACACTGAGCGTGAGCCAGCACACAGCCCCTCCTGAGAAAAGGCTGGCATCAGGGTAAAACATTCTCTGATCTACTCTCTGATCATACCATCCTTTCTTCCCCAAACCTGCTTTTGTTTCTCCTTTTTGTTAAAAGAAAACTCCTTTTTGCCTAGCCTTTGAGATGCTTCAGGATCCTTAAGATCTTATGGTAAAGCACCCTCCGTAGTGTGATTTTTCCTTTCTGCCCTTCGCAATAATCCTTTCCAATGATGTTTCTCCTTACTTAATCCGGATTAGTTTTTTCTTTAACTGTTCATATTAAGTATGCTGGTCTCCATTTTGCAGAGGAAGAAGTTGGGGCTCAGGGAGGTGGTGACAGGCAGAATGGGGAGCTCTGGTCTGTCTGAACCCAGAGACCGTGCTTGTTCCCTTAACTAGTTCCTGAGGCCCTGTTCATGAATTGTAGACTTTATCTGAACTCTCTCTGGTCCTCTACATGCTTATCATCTAATCAGAGACACAGACAGTCACTCACAGTGGGTTTGACTTACAACTTTACGTTGGTGCAAAGCGATGTATCTTCAGCAGAAGCCTTACTTCGAATTTTGAGTTTTGATCTTTTCTCAGGCTAGCGATGTATTTGGATAGTGTGTTTTGTGTTTTAGCATCCTGTCATGTCTGCAAAATGTCCATGTACAGTATTCAACACTTCATTATAAACTAGGCTTCGTATTAGATGATTTTGCCTAATTGTAGGCTAATGTCAGTGTTCTGAGCATGTTTAAGGCAGGGTTGGCTAAGCTGTGATATTCGGTAGGTTAGGTGCGTTAAATGCATTTTCAACTTAGGCTATTTTCAGCTTACGGTGGGTTTATTGGATCTAACCCATTATAAGTCACGAGCATCAGTCTAAGATACTGAGTCATGGTTTGTGTAGCATCTTTGTTTTATAGCTCTGGGAAAAGAGAAACTCATGCAATATCACTGTTTTTTATGCACTTGTGTATTCCTCTGAATAGAATCTTCACGAGGAGAAAAATCTTGGTGTCTACAGCAGAAATAGGCATGCCAATGTTGAGCTTCCAGCCTACGTGGTTAGGAAAGGTTCTTGGACCGGGCAAGACTGGAGCTGCTCTGAGGAGAAGGGGTTCCATGTGGAAGTTGCAGGACTCACATATAGGGTATTATTGGTTAGAGATGCATGGGGGTGGGAGAGTCCAGGGAGGGGGTAGCAGCGGTTCCCTTGCCTGCCAGGCAGCCAATGGCACCTTCTTCTCTGGGCAGTGGTGAGCCACTGCAGGTCTTTGGGCAGGAGAATGTCATAATGACAATGATGATAATAATGATCACGCTGATAATAGCCTGTGCCTCAGGTTTTTATAGCTCCTCTCCCAAGGTGCCCTTCTCCGGAAAGCTGGGAGTGCTTCACAGATGTTACCTAATTAATCACTAGTGCTTCCCTGCTGAGGGAGGTGGGGGGTGGCGAATATCCCCATTTTTCAAAGGAGGAAAACCAGGCAATGGGAAGCTCTCAGGTAGTCTAGTGAAGCAGTGTGGGTGCTGGCAGAGACCCTGCAACAGTTGTTCTTTCTCTCTTTGCCTCCAGTCCCACAGCCCACCTTTCGGGAATAGAGTGGCCTAGGACACATTGGTTTGTGCATAGGGAGGTACAGATAAGAGGGTCTATGCATGAAGGATGGAGGAGAGGAATCCATACACTGAGTGTTTAGAGATGCTCGAATATGGACACCTGGGGGTCAGATGAGGTCACTCCTGGCTTTGGGCACACCCTAGACCTTGATATCCTCTTCTTCTGCTCCCTCAAAGGTGTCTCTTGGGGCATTTATCATCCTCCTCTGAGTCTGTTGACCTCCGTGGCTGTTCTGTGCCCTCTTTGAGACAAGGATCTTACCTTTTATAATCTAACCTCAGAGCCAGGTTCATGCGCTTTGGCTTGACTATTAAATTTGCCATCTTTTGACATGGGTGAGTCACTTCCCCTCTCTTAGCCTCAGTTTCTTCATCTGTAAAAGGATGATGACAACTACACCTGCCTTATTGGGTTACTGTGAAGATTAGATGAGGTAATGCATGTCATATGCTCAACAGTGCCTGGGACATTTAATAAATTATCAGTGCTCTTATAATAGGGGCTTAAAAATATGAACACTGGATTACTGCTCTAAACTGGCTCGTGGATACAGGCATATCTTCTTGGATGCAATTGACATGCAACGGAAATACTGAGTAGGAATCAGCTTCCTTGAAATGGAATCATTTCTCCTGTTGATGTGTATTGTAATTTTAAAGAAAACATATGCGCTTTTTCATTTCTGCCTGGGTGTAGTAAAGCTTTTGTTCCAAGTTCCTGAGCCCCTCCACCTCTCCATCAAGTATCTAGTAATCCATAAACAAGGCTTAAGCTGCTATTTAAAGCAACTCTGCTGTTAATCCCTTTGTAAAAGCAAATCCTTTGGGAATGTGAATAACCTCCCCGCCTCCAGCTCTTTCCTTTTGAGCTTATTGTGTAAATTCAGGTTTTTCCTATTTTATTTCTTTTAAGGTAGTGTTATCCATGACTGAGAGTCAGAGATTCAGAACTGGAAGATGGATGGAATCTTAGAGTGCCCGGCCCAACATCTTCATTTAAAAGATGGGAGATGAGGACCTGGCGAAGGGGGTGCTTTTCACATTTGGGTAGCAGTAAAACTCAGGCTTAGCCCATGTCTCCAAAAGTGTTTCTCAGCTGTTACATAAGTGATTTTTTTAATTGTCATGTATTTATTTAAAGCGATACCGGTTTTCCCCCCTAAATAATACCAATACAAGCAGTATTCATATCGTGTTGGCTCTGTGGCAGGCACTATTGGAAGCACTTGCCGTAAATTAACTTTACATGTTTTAAGTCATTTACCCTTGAACCACCTCTGTATTCAGTAGGTGCTATTGTTAGTGCTGTTTTGCAGATGAAGTGCAGTTAGCCCACATCTATTGCCACTGTTAGTTGAGTAAATAAATTCATTCCTAGAAATCTTAATTTCTCCTTCTGTAGTGTTTCCTTGGATTTAGAATCAATTTCATAGACTGTTGTTAACTCACTTGTCCAGGGTCACACTGCTCATAGGTGACTGTCAACTCCAGAGCTCATCAATTACAGGTGTCTCTCTATTGACCAAATGCATGGCCGTAAAGCTTTATTTTAAAAAGAGATCTATTTCACTACAAGATGAGAGTTGGTTGAAGAAAATACTGAGTTACTGGACTGGGTGGTACAGAAATATGGCAAAAACCGTGAAACTAGTGCATGGGCATTGGAAGTTTGGAAACGTTACAGAATACCGTGTATTGTGTCAAAAATGCATTTGCAAATTTTCAGGAAGGGCTCGTTGGGTGCCAAGGGCTATGTGAGGTGCCAGAAACAGACAAGTAGCTGGAAACAGATCAAATCAGACAAGGCTACTTTCTTCGTACAGCATATAATATAGCTGAAAAGAGCACACAAGAGAACAAATAAGATATTACAGCCTCTGGCAGATGTTCCAGGGAGGCCAACAGTGGAGTACATAGGTGTGTGTGTGTGTGTGTGTGTGTGTGTGTGTGTGTGTGTGTATGTGTGTTTATGTGTGTTATGGGGATGGGGCAGGCAGCGGGGGCCTCTATTTACTAGGTTCAGTTGTCACATCTACGAAGAGGTGACACTTCCAATAAGACATAAAGGTGAGTGACATGGACAGGTTTGTCTCTTCATCGGATCATGTCTCTCTGCTCCGTCATCTCCTCTTTGGGAGTAAATGCAGAGAACTGTCAGGCTGTGAGCAGCTTTTACCTCCTTCAAGGACTCTGCAGTCACCTAAAATCAGGAATTCCTCCAGGCCCGATGCTGGGAATAGGACAGCACTAACTGTCGCCCCTCTGTCAGGTGTAGATTGAGAAGTGCTTCCACCAGCGATTGATTTTTTGCTTTCTCCATGACAGAGGCAGCAACAACAGGGTTAGTTTATTACTAAACGGAATGATTAATTCATCTGTATCTTTACATACCGGTGCTGTCAAAGAGAAGTCAGATGAGTTTGGAATGCGGATTTTTACTCACCCTCGGAGCTGCTCCCTGCTTTTAGCTAATAGCTTTGCTAAATAAAACAGCCTATTTCTGGCCAACTTCCTTCCCTAGGGCAGGAGTTGCAAAGTTAGATGTTTTCTGGGCAGGGTTGGTAGTGAGAACAAGTGTCCTGGCCACATGGGGACTGGGCACTCCCACACCACATCTGAAGTAGACAGTGCCTCTCAGATTCAGTCAATTCAAAGTATGAACCCAGTGAGGCCAAATCTAATTTTTCAAAGAAGGTTAGACATCCAGAATTTGAATGCACAGTCTTCCTGAGCTTTGAACATTGGCGGCTAATTGAAAAATTTAAAAACACTTTGCAGTTCAAAACAAAATATATAAGAGTCAGATTCAGCTAGGGAGGTGATCAGTGGGTGACCTCTTTTCTGAGGGCCCCTGAAAACCGGGTCTGGCCAGCCGAGAGACAGAATGGGCCCAGGGTCTCTCAGAACTTGGTGGGACTAAAGGAGAAGAAATTGGCAAAACCACCTACTTACCTGGGATTGGTTGTACAGCATCAACTCCTACCTGCTCATTTGCTTTCATTCTGATCCTTTGGGCCCAGGGCTGGAACTGCTTTATAGAAGCCCAGGTTCTATGCCAAGTGTTTTACATACATTATTAGCCCAGGTGATCCTCCCAGCAACCCCCAGAGGCCGATCCTAATGTTATCCTCATCTTATGGAGGGAAACCGGAAAGCTTTAAGAGGTTAAAACTTCACTTAGGGGCCGGCGCGGTGGCTCATGCCTATAATCCCAGCACTTTGGGAGGTGGAGGCAGGCAGATCACCTGAGGTCAGGAGGGCGAGACCAGCCTGGCCCACATGGCGAAACCCTGTCTCTACTAAAAATACAAAAATTAGCCAGGCGTGGTGGCGGGCACCTATAATCCCAGCTACTCGAGAGGCTGAGACAGGAGAATCACTTGAACTTGGGAGGCAGAGGTTACAGTGAGTCGAGATCTTGCCATTGCACTCTGGCCTGGGCAACAAGAGTGAAACTCCGTCTCAAAAAAAAAAAAGAAAATTCCACTTTGGGTCACACAGCTATTATAGAAAGTAGCTGAGTTGGAAAACACACCCTGGCCTGTTTCCAGTGCCCAAGACATTGAGGGATACTCACTAGTCTCTTTCTTTGACATAAGCGAGTTCTTGATTCAGCTCTTAAAATGTAAATGTTCCTTTTGTTGAAATCATTCATCTTATCATTGCCATTGCAAGTCAACAGTTGCCGAGCCAGGACCGTATGTCAGACACCCTGTTTGGCTCTGGGAAAACAAGTGGATAAGACCCAGCCCCTGCCACAAGGAATCTTGAATGTTACAGTGGAGTGAGGAAGATGGGTGCTTAGAGAGAAGTAATTACAGGATAGAGTCGTGGTGGCAGTGACCGCAACCAGCTAGCTGAGGAGGGAGTGGTCTACTTATCTTCGGAGGTCAGGAAAGGTTTCCAATAAAACGTCTTGAATTGGGAAGGATAAATATGAATCCTCCAGGTGGGCAAGAGAAGAAGGGATTCCTGGCAGAGAGAATGGGCCGTGCAAAATGAGGAGGAAGATGTGAAGCTGCTGTGCATTTCCTGTGTTTGTGGCTAGTGACGGTGGTTTAGAAGGAACGGTCTGTCCCTGTGCTTGGGATTGTGACTGTGTCTTTCTCACTCTCTCCATGGGAAGCCTGGCTTTTCTCCTCCCACCAAAAGGAAAGCCTCTGCCTGCAGCTTGTTGGAAGTGAGTACGTGGGTCTCAGGACAGGCGGCATGGTGTGACTCTGTCTTGGGAGATGGGACTGGGTAGTTGTTTGAAATTTGTCCTCTGCAGTCAAACCTCCTGGGTTCAAATCCCAGCTTTGCCAGTGACTGTGACCTTGAGTATGTTGCTTCATTTCTCTGTACCTCAGTTTCCTCACCTGGGTAATGGGGATGGGAGTTACTCCTTCTTGCGGTCTCTAGGAAGTAATGCACTAAAGTGTCTTGCACGAGACGTCTGGGATAGTGAGTGCCAGTATGGGGACCGTTATCTGGAGTATGGGGACTGTTATCTGGAGCATGTGTGTTGTGGTCCACATGGCCCTCAGTATCCTGGTTGACTCAAACGTAGATAAGGGGGCATTCAGAGGCAGTTACACTGGCTCCTCTGTAGGGCCAAGTTCATCTCCCATGTGCTGTGCTGGTTGCACTCTTGGCTGGCCTGCCCCGAGTCCTGAGATGCCAACCTTTGTGCTGTGCTTTGATCTCCAGGCTGTGCTCTGCTGACACAGTGACACTGTGCAATCCACTCTGTGTGGGGTCCCATTAACACTGAAATTCAGTAATCTTAAATAGAATTAGAAATGCAATTCCACATTTGTAACAGCCACATTTCAAGTGGTGGGCAGCCACGTGTGGCTAGTGAGTTCCACTGGGGTCAGTACAGAGACTGTTTCTATCATCACAGAAAGTTTTATGGGGCAGCAGTGCCTTGGACAATTCCTGGGACCTTAAAATGCCTCTTGCTGAAATGGGCCCACCGTGGAGCTCTCCGTGTACCTGTGATGATGTGCAGTGATACTTTCCACCCCAGAAAGATGGAGAGGCCCAAATACCGGCATCTCCATTTGCCCCTTCTTGCAGCCTTTTGGCCCAAAGTGGCTTCTCTCACTGTGAATCTAGCCAAGAGAGTGCCCAGCACATAGTGGGTGTCCAATGACAATTGAGGGAGGGGGCACGGCACAGTGGGTAAGAGCATGGACTCTGGAATCATCCCTGCCCTCATCCCAATTCTGGAAGGTGGCCTCTCTGTGCCTCAGTATTGTCATCTGTTCAATGGGGAAAATACCAACAGATGCTTCATGGGCTTGCAGTGAGGATTAACTGAGATAAAGTTGAAGTGCACTGTTAGCCCACATCCATTGCCACTGTTAGTTGAGTAAATAAATTCATTCCTAGAAATCTTAATTTCTCCTTCTGTAATGTTTCCTTGGATTTAGAATCAATTTCATAGACTGTCAGAACTAAAATGTTAGACATTTTCTATTAATAATTCAATCTCCATTTATTTTATTAAGATATTGCGACCAGGCACAGTGGCTCACACCTGTATTCCCAGCACTTTGGGAGGCTGAGGTGGGTGGATCATTTGAGGTCAGGAGTTCAAGACCAGCCTGGCCAACATAGTGAAACCCCGTCTCTATTAAAAATACAAAAATTAGCCAGGCATGGTGGTGCATGCCTGTAATCCCAGCTCAGGAGGCTGAGGCAGGAGAATTGCTTGAAACTGGGAGGCAGAGGTTGCAGTGAGCCGAGATCATGCCACTGCGCTCCAATCCAGCTTGGGTGACAGAGTGAGACTCCATTTCAAAAAAAAAAAAAAAAAAAAAGGTGTTGCCTTTTATTTGTTCTTTTTTTTCTTTTTTGTTTGAATAGCATGAAATAAATAAAATTGTCCAGCTTTATTGAAATGTAATTAGCTTGTGATAAATTATGCATATTCAAAGTGTAAAATTTGATGAGTTTTGATATCTGTATCCACCTGTGACATCATCACCCCAAATTATTGGATATAATGAACATCACCCCCAGGATTTTCTTATTTCTCTTTACAATAACTACCTCCCTCTTCCCCAAACCCCATCCACAGGCAAACAACTGATGAGCTTTCTCTCACTCTAGATTTGTTTACATTTTCTGAGTTTCAAACATTAGCGATTAATTGAAAAGTTCTAAAACGCTTTGCAGGCCAAAACAAACAAAAAAAGAAACAACGACAACAAAGTATAGCCCCTCATTGTCCACTCTCACCCCCAGCCCCTGGAAACTGCCATTCTTCTTTCTGTGTCTATGATTTTGACTACGCTAAGTACCTCCTATAAGTGGAATCACACAGTATTTGTCCTTTTGTAACTGGCTGGTTTCTCTTAGCATAAATAATGTCTTTGAGGTTTGTCCCTGTCACGGAATGTGTCAGAATTTCCTTCCTTTTTAAGGCTGACTAGTCCATGGTATGTGTGTATTGCATTTGGTTTATCCACGCAGATCTTCCAGGAGGGACACTAGGCTAGCTTTCCCCTTTTAGCTACTGTGAGTAATGCTGCTTTGAACACAGATATGCCAATAGCTGTTCAAGCCCCTTCTTTTCACTAGGTTGTGAACCCAGAGGAGGAATTGCTGATTATATAGCATTTGACATCTAGTTTTTCTATATTTAATTTTTTGAGAAGCCACCTTATTATCCCTCCATCTGTGAATGACACTTGCTTTTTAAATATAAGGAGTATAAGCATGTGATAACAAAATTCCCCCATGAGAAAAGGATATAAAATAGGAGACTTCTCCTTCTTTTCCAGTCTCTGTCTTTAAAGGAATCATTGCTAACAATTTCTTGTATATCCTTCCATGGGATATACAACCACTTTGCAGAGTTACTGAGAGTCAACTGCTTCGTCTGCTAAATGGGCACATCTCGCTCCAACCACCTCTTTTTATTTTTATTTATTTGTTTATTTATTTATTTAGAGACAGATTCTGGGTCTGTCGCCCAGGCTGGAGTTCAGTGGCATGATCTCAGCTCACTGCAACCTCCGCCTCCTGGGTTCAGGTGATTCTTCTGCCTCAGCCTCCCGAATAGCTGGGATTACAGGTGTGCACCACCATGCCTAGCTAATTTTTGTGTTTTTAGTAGAGATGGGGTTTCACCATGTTGGCCAGGCTGGTCTCGAACTCCCGACCTCAAGTGATCCGCCTGCCTTGGCCTCCCAAAATGCTGGGATTACAGGTGTGAGGCACTGCTCCCAGCCCTCCAACCACCTCTTAGCATTGTTGCCAGACACAAAGGAAAATGGAGACAAAAGTGCATATTTCTTCCAGAACTATCAGAGGCCAGCAGGTCTTCCTACAGAATTCAGCCTAAGCAATCTTTCAAATACAAATACAAATGATGGTCTTTGGAAAGACCAGTATTTTCAAAAGTGTCTTGAGAGTGAATGTCTGGCTCTCTGGAGGTAAGGGGTGTGTGTGTGTGTGTGTGTGTGTGTGTGTGAGAGAGAGAGAGAGAGAGAGAGAGAGAGAGAGAGATATCCTTCATTTCATAGATGTGGAGACTCAAAGCTTTCCCTGGCTTTCTGTTATTCTCTAGGATAACATGAGGCCCAGAAGACACCAAGATTCAGAATTCACAGCAGTGCCTCTGTACAGATCACTGTCCTCTACCCCCAGCTACCCCCACAACATGCCCAGTGGCCTGGCTGGGCTGGATCCTGCTCCCACCCACCACACCTTGTCTAATTTCTCTCCCGCATCCTCCGGGGGCCAGGTTCCCATTTTCATGCCATTCCAGTTTGCTGAAAAGCCCTGGGGTGTCTCTGCCCCCAGGCAGGCTGGGCTGGCCTCACAGAGGTTTTCCATCTCTTAGTCGGCCTCCCTGATTTAAAGCCGCCTGTCAGATGTTGGAGATTAAGTTAGAAATCAGCCATTTGCGCTGAGTTTTGGAGAAGCTGCTGCCAAATGGGAACTCCTGAGTCTTTTCTTCTATATATAGTCTTTAGGGTGAGCTAACTGAAGTTAGCAGGGTTTATTTTAGGAGGTGTCTCCTTGGAGCGGAGTGTGGTGGGTTGGGCTGCCTGCCCGGGGAGCATTTGAAAGATTGCTTAGGCTGACATCCTGCAGGAAGATCTGCTGGCCTCTGACAATTCTGGAAGAAATATGCACTTTTTTCCTGCCTTTTCCTTTGTTTCTGGCAGCAAAGCAAAGGAGTGGTTGAAGGGCTATGTGCCCATTTAGCAGACAAAGCTGTTGAATCTCAGTAACTTTGCAAAGTGGTTGTGATAAAGCGGAGGTAAGACAGGTCCTCTCATTCCTTGTTTTGTATCCCTTGTGGTAAAAGTTAAATTCCTTGAAATATTCTGTCTATGAAGAAATACTAAGAAAGTAGGGGATGGAGTGGGTTTTAATCTGAGCTTAGGAGAATACAGTATAAAGAGCTTGGACTTGAGAGTCATTCCTAGGTTCTAACCCCAGCTCAGCCTCTTACTGGTTCTGCAGCACTGGGCCAGTTACTTTTCTGCCTCAGTCTCAGTTTTCCTGGCTGTGAACTGGTCGTAATTTGCCTTACAGTGTTGTCGTGACGGTGAAAACATGAGTTACAAAGAGTTAAGGCCAGTGAAGTACCTGGCACCTAATACGTGCTTCATAAATGGCAGTTATTGCTTTATTTGAAGAAAAGGAAACTTTTAGCAACATATTCCTAGAAATTACCTCAATTAGAAGGAGACATCTTGCTAGAATACTAACTAGGATTTTAGGTTAAATTATGCAGTCATATATTAAAAGATCCACCTTTTGGGAAATATCCATTGACTGGTGACCTGGCAGAAGGAAACCTCAGGCTCATTTCTCTGCAAGGTCCTGGCCTCTTTGAGTAAGCCCAATAGACATAATCAAGATGACAGTGTATATTATTTAAAAGGTGATTATATTAAAGCATTTTTTGGTGAAAAAAAAAAGTCTTGGAACAAATAAATACCTATTTGGTATGGGAACTGCAGTCTCTTCCTCTTTCTCACACACACCCATGCATATTGTCCCTTCAACATTCGTGCCATTTGTTGTGTTTAATTATAGGGGAAGTGAAATCCTCTCCAAAGTTGCCTGCTAGTTAATTGCTGACGTTTCATTCTCGAACATTTATTGAGAATAAGCTCTGCCCCATGCCTAGTGGAGGAAACCCCCGTGACATTTGAGTACTGTAGACAGGTTTGACCTATTCCAATTCAACAAGAGAGAAAGAAGCAAGGGAGAAAAAGAGCAATGCAGATCATCTGGGTATCTTCTTTGTCCTCCAAAGCCTCAGTTCTTCCCTTTGTACAATGAGCACAGCTGGATTTAATGGGCTCCAGGTTCTTTGCTGCTCTTTGAGGCTGAAACTCAGGGGAGGTAAAGAAATTCTTTTGCTTGTTCTGAACCCCAGTGGGCTGATCCAGAGCTGCTTGTACACCCTCCCCTTTCTAGATGAGATGGTTCCAGCGTGAATGGGGATGCTCCAGTGCTTGAAACTCACAGGCATCACGTGGTTAAGCTAGAAATAGAAAATAAGTCATGTCTGGGTTTCGAGGACTCCCTGACTATTCTGGTTATGTTTGGAACAGAGCGTTTATGAGAGGCTGAACTGAATGGATGGGATCATAGCTTCCATTCCATGGAAGGCAGGGTCGTCCAGCTTTCCTGATGGGAATGTGTTTGTTGGGCAGGGGTGGGGTTGGGGTGATAAGCTTCTTGGGGAGTGAGCTAAATAAGCCATTCTCAAAGCCCTTCCCCTGAGAATAGAGCAGGCTGGCTGTCCCGCCAAACAAAGAGCCTGGATGTCTTGAACCACTGCAGTGATGGGAAGATTCTGCCATCCAGACAATGGGAACTCTATCGCCATGTCTAGCTGAGGACAGGGGGTTAGTGTCTGGCCTCATGAGGTCCCAACAGGTCTGTTTGATGGGCAGGTTAACAACATAGGCACTAGAACCAGGTCCTTCTTCCTGGCTGGGGGATCTTGGGTGAGTTATTAGTTAATCTGAGCCTTGACTATTCCATCTATAAAAACAAGACCCAGAATAGTACCTAATTTTGTGTGTGTGTGTGAGGCAGAGTCTCACTCTGTCACCTAGGCTGGAGTGCAGTGGTGCGATCTTGGCTCACTGCACCCTCCACCTTCCGGGTTCAAGCAATTCTCCTGCCTCAGCCTCCTGAGGAGCTGAGATTACAGGCATGTGCCACCATGCCCGGCTAATTTTTGTATTTTTAGAAGAAATGGTGTTTCACCATATTGGCCAGGCTGGTCTCGAACTTCTGACCTAAAGTGAGCTGCCTGCTTTGGCCTCCCACAGTGCTGGGATTACAGGTGTGAGCCACCACACCTGGCCTGGTTGGGTGCATTTCTTGTTCATTCGTCATTTGGTCCCTATTTTTTTTTTTTTTTTTTTTTTTTTTGAGACAGAGTTTTGCTCTTGTTGCTCAGGCTGGAATGCAATGGCACAATCTCGGCTCACTGCAACCTCCGCCTCCCGGATTCAAGCGATTCTCCTGCCTCAGCTTTCTAAGTAGCTGGGATTACAGGTGCAAGCCATGATGCCCAGCTAATATTTGTGTTTTTAGTGGAGACGGGGTTTCACCATCTTGGTCAGGCCGGTCTTGAACTCCTGACCTCAAGTGATCCTCCTGCCTTGGCCTCTCAAAGTGTTGGGATTATAGGCGTGAGCCACTGTGCCCAGCCAGGTCCCTGTTCTTTAACAGAAAAGACAAGTCACCAAATCTGTTTTAGGCCCTTCAGATGCAGCTGTGAGCAAAAGAGACATCACCCATCCTCTTGAGCACTGGCTTCTAGTTTGAGTGGCTGGTACCCTGAGGAAGGGTCTGGAAGGACACAACCTGCAAGCTTGGCTGGCTGTGGTTGGCCTACCTCTGTCCTCTTAGGTTGGGGTTTCTCAGCCCCATACTATAGATGTTTGGGGCTGGATAAAGGATCAGCTGACCTGTGCATTGTAGGATATGGAGCGCCATCCCTGTCTCTACCCTCTAGGTGCCAGTACACGCTCCCTTTCAAGTTATGACAAATAAGCGTGTCTCTAGACAGTGTCAAATGTTCCCTGGGGGACAAAACCACCCCCCTGGTTGAGAACCACTGCCACCAGGTCGTGAAAGCACAGTGGGATGGGCCCCTCTAAGCCCTAGGGCAACGCTGGCTGTGATCCACAGTCCCACTTCCTTCTCTGTAAAGTGGTTGGATACACAGGTCAGGGTTTATTAACAGTACAGGCTCTGACGCAAGCAAACACACTCAGTGATTAATGCTAATGGTAATGGTGGTGCAGTGATGACCGTCCCTTTTCAACACTGCCACCTCCCCCTGCACATACATCGTAGGGACACCAGTGGCTCCAGCCGTTCAAGTCTGGGTCTTTGCCTGTGGTGCCCCCAGGGCATGGTAGTGAAAGGCCGGGCTCCGGAAGCCACCTTTATCTGAAGCGTGGAAATGTGGTTCCAGGCTGCCTGTCCCAACAGCAGACCCATCCACCTGGCCGGTGGGGATTGATCTGATGGGCACGAGGGCCCAGGAGCATGTTCCCGGCCTCTCTGGATCATGGACTGCTCTTGAGCACCGAACTTGACCAGCCTTATCAAATCTGACTGTATTTCCCTTTCTGTAATTCACCAGAGAGCCTTGTAAATCAGCAGCCACTAGCAATTCCTGCTTTGTGGTGGCTGTAAGACTCAGAGCAACTTGTTTTTCCAGACCTCTCGTCTAATCTTTTCTGTGTGTGTGTGTGTGTGTGTGTTTTAAATGTTATCTTGAACAAGAAACAGCTAAAATTTTATTTTTTTTTTTGCATTGCGACAGGGTTTTTGCCCAGGGGTCTGTTGGATGGGCCGGTTAACAATATAGGCACTAAAGCCAGGTCCCTCTTGGCTGGGGGATTTTGGGTGAGTTATTAGCTAATCTTAGCTTTGAATTTTCCATCTATAAAACAAGACCCAGAATAGTATGTACTTCATAGAGATGTTGCGAGGATTAATTAATGCTTATAATGCTTCTAAATGGGCTTAAAGCACTACCTAGTCCATAATAAGTGCCTAAGAAATGTTATTATAGGATTTGAAGTTGCACGGACTGGAACTTGAATCTTGGTCTCTGCCCCTTACCTGCTGTGTGACATTAACAAGTGTCTCCACCTCTCTGAGCCTGTGTCTGCCTTATATTAATAGCTGTGGTTGTTGCAGGTTGAGCCACCAGTGTGTCCTAGTTGGTCTGGGATATGCCTGATTTTTAGTGCTGAACGTCCCATATCCTCAGTCCCAGGCAAGCTGGGATGCTTGGTCACACTGGTTATGGGGTTGAAATAAACCATAGCACCTAGCACATTGTAGGTGTGAGTAAATGGAAACATGCCAGAAGTAGTCTGTCCCATTTGGTTATGTGTGGGAGGTGGTGGGGGGATGTTTTAGCTGCTCATTTGTTTCAGCCTACAAATACTCATGCCATTTTCCTCAGCCATAGAACTCTTGCAAATTGATGTTTTCTAACCTAGATTGATTTTTTTTGTCCTTCTATTTTAGACAGAAAAAAGATTTTTTTTGACTTTCATGTTACAAGATATCACCTCTTGTTTTTTTTTTTCTGTCTGTAATAACAATACTGAGGGTTGAATAATTAGTACGGCATGGTAGTAGCAACATAATGTCTTAGACCGTGTGGGTTATATCATGATCCCTAAAAATGGGGAATAGGAATTATTTGAGACTTATTTTGAAAATCTTCAGTGTGCTGATTCACTGAGTTGGTTTTCAGAAGTACCTTTGGATCTGATTATGTAAAAGCCAAATATTATAATCTAGGGAGTAGGAGTGAAGGCTGATCCTGATGAAGATTCCAATCAATCTACACAGGAACTTTGGCAGTGACTCCCTGTTGCTCTTTGGATAAGACTCAAGCTCCTTCCTAGCACCCAAAGGGACTCCCTGACCTGGTGGCCCCTACACCAAATCCTACCACTTTATCATATGCTACTCACCTTCTCAATGTTGATTCTAGATTCAGACTTCCTTTCTTTGTGTCCTCAAAATTATGAGTGCCTTCCCACCACAGAGCCTTTATTCATGCTTCTCCTTCTGCCTAAAATGCTTGTCCTCTCCTCTACCTTGGACAAGTTGATTCTCACTCATTCTTTGGCAGCCAGTTTAATTCTCCCTTTCTGAAAGAACCTTTCTGATCTTCTCTCCTGGATGAAGTTCCTGTGTTTTCTGTCCCTACCTTCTCCCCTTTGGCAGCATTTATCACAAATCTAACTAAATCACCAATTTTGCAATCAGTTGTTTGATATAAGATGATGGAATCAATACTCCCTGTAGCTATCTTGTTAAAGATACCTTATGTGTCCATTGAAAAGGAGACAGTTGTTGAATTTTATAGGTATTACGAGAGGCTGGAGAATAGTGTTCACGAGCAGTGTTCTCAAGCTGGATCTCCTGAATTTGATCAAATTCTAGCTCCAACACTGTGCAGCTGTGTGACTTTGGGCACATGGCATAACCTCTCTGAGCCCAGGTCCCTCATCTGTAAATAGAGGCTAATAGGAGTCCATTCCTTAAGGGCAGTTGTCAGAATTAAGTGAGTAAAATATGTCAGTGCCTGGCACATGCTGTATGTTGGTGTTGATGGTAACAACCATTATTATGAGTTCTACAGCTAGTAAAAATAATAGTATTCATCATCTTGAGAAATTCCGCCAGCTGGCTTAAAAGTGTGTGGCTGGAGAGAATGAAACACGTGTACTACACGGTAACTTTGTTTTATTCACAAGTTTTGTGGCTGTAGAATTGTCTGAAGCCTCAGTTTCCTCATCTATAAAATGGGGCCAGCATTATCTTCCCCACAGAGTTGGTGTGAGCATTCAAAAAGCAGCCTCTCAAGCCTAGGTTGAGGCACATAGTAGGTGCCTGATGAACGTCAGTGGCCCGAGCACTGTAGACGCTGATTACTGGTTTCTCAGACGCCACAACTTGGGATGCCAGAGCTTTTGCTTGGGATCTGAGAAGCTGGACTGTGAATATGGATTCCAACAACAGCCCTTCAGAGAGCATTCTGCTTCTCTGTGATTTAAAACGAAACAAAACAAAAAATAATATTGGATGATCCAAGGTGCTGGTTTTATATGGCAGCTAATGAGATAGCAGGGCAAGTAACTGGAGAATGTATTGCTAACAGGCACAATAAATATAGCTATGATTATATATTAGCAGCCCTCAAATGGCCCATAATGCAGTGAGTACATGTGAGGTCAAGAACGTGTTAGAAAACAGATGTTTGTTGTTAGTCCTTATAGACCACACTTTTTAAAAGAAATACGTATTTGATGATTTATTATGATCAGACATTGTTGTAAGTGCTTTACAGATATTCGGTGAATCCTAATAACAGGCCTGGGAAGTAGGTATATGTCATTATTATTATTCCTACTTCGCATATGAGGAAACTGAGGCACCAAGATCTCAAGTAATTTGCTCAAGTTCAAACGGAAAATAATTGAGCCGGCATTTGTACACAGAGACTCTGATACAAGTTTCCATGTTCTTAGCCACTATTCTATGCTGAAGTCACACGGAAGAAGATAATGAATGGAAACGGATAATTGAATGCAAAATACCCACTTTCTCTTAAAAATGGGCCAGACCAGCTGTCCTTGGTCCTGAATTCGACAGGCCTTACCATTAATGGAACTTGTTCTTGAACATTAGCATTGGGAGAGTTGTAGTCCTCACACTGATGGAAGCTATCTAATGTATTCTGTCTGCCATTGACACTGTGCCCCTCTAACACCCTTTCCCCTAAACTGATTTTCTTTTACCATGTTGGAATGTGAGTAGTTTACTGTACCTGCTGAAAGCAAGGTCTTAATTAGCCTTAATTTTTGAAGTCTGCAGCTGTAAAATGTGTTGAAAAGATTGAAAAGATTAGTGCACTAGTAATAAGATAATTGTCCCTGAGAAATGCTGTTAGCATGTAAACACAGTTAGCATGTGAAATCAGAACAACTGTAATATTTCCCTCGTTTGGTGTTTAAAGATGCTCCTGCGTGAATAATTATAACTAAATGCAAAGTGCAGAGATGGGATGCTGCATGTTTTTCCTGTTATTCTTTCCTGCTTCTATCCCAGCTCAGAAGTAAAACTCTTAGTGGAATCTTGTCTGAAGCTAGCCTCCCCTCCCCCACAGCCATTTGAAATTAGTACCAAGAATGGGGCAACTTAGAACAGAGGGAATTCCAAAATTAGGGATACTCAGCAAACAAAATCTACAGATCCCATAGCAACTTTTTTTGGGGGGGTGTTGAATGAAAGAGACCACACATGCATACCTGTATGTGCATGTGGATGCTCACATATGTGTGTGTACACACATGCATATTCACACACATACACTCTCTCTTTCTTTCTCTCTGTCTCTTAATAAACAGAGCTGGAGAAAACTAGCCATGGCTATACACAGCAGAAGCAGATGTGATAAACCTCATTTTACCTTTTTAGACCTAGAAAGGTTGCAGTAAAATATGCTGCACCTGCCACCACATGAGGTCCTTCCTTCCTTCTGTGGAGTTTTTGCATCCTTTGATAAGTTGGAACATACTTCAATTTTATGAAATTAGTACGTATAGTACCTTCCTAACAGACCATAGCTCATCAGATATGCTACATATCCTATAAAGACTAACCTTTCTGCTTCCTCATCTCAGACATTAGCCAATCAGTAGGTTGAGCTTGTCTCCTTCTGCTGTGTCATTTATACCCCAAACTCTTCTTTATAGGGAGGACTTGCCTTGACTTACAGTCAGGAAAACATCCTACAGCTCAGAAGTTGGCTGAGTTCTCAGCATACATCTCTCAGATTCCACCTATAACATGAATTGGGTTTCCGTTGATTTTGGTTCAGCAAGAATTTACCAAGTGCTTTCTATGTGGCAGTCTTAGGACTTCATTAAGCATAAAAACAAAGAAGATAGTCCCTGGTCCTGGGGAAGTGGGACAAGTTGTCAAAAGTATGTAGCAGGGGCTGATGAGAAGACAGGACTCTCACCCCTATCCATGGGAGTCAACTTTGCTCTCTGCCTTGTATTCCTGGGTGTGCATTCATAGGTGCTTCTTGAGTTAAATTATTCTTGGACTTTGCAGCCACGTTACTTTACAACCTGTCTATGGTTCATATCCCGTCCTTCTCTCTAACCTCAGGTCCTCCAGCTGAAAGTGCTGGGCTTAGCTTAGGATCCACTAAACCAGAGATTACAAACACCAATGCCCACAGCAGCCACACTGGCAGCCGTAAGTGAAGGACATGTGTCTGGGGCGGGGACTGTGGCAAGCAGGAGGGCCTGTGACCCTTCTAAGGGAGATAGCTGCTTTCCAGTGCCAGAAAGGCAGTGCCTTAGGAAAATGCTGGATTTGTGTAGCTAGGTCTTCTGATTTTTCCAAAAAATGCCAGAACTTTGCAGTTTTATGGGAAACCTCCTGAATGTGAAGTATTGGCATCCTATGTAGGTTTTTGTTGTTCTTTTTAAAACATTGTGCAGGCTGAACAAACTATGCCTGAGCTGAATACTGCTTGTAGATTCCAGTTTCTGTTGGCCACCTCTGCAGTCAGCCCATGAAGATCGTGTTCTCAAAGTGCTGGCTAAACAGAGGCCACTGCTGAGTCACTAGGGTTGCTTCCCACCACTTCATGAACGTGTTCAGTGTGAGACCACACACTTTACCTTGCATCTTGTTTCTCCAGCTCTTTCTCATCCTGCCCTCCCCGCAGATGTCTCAATGAAGTCCCTGGGAAAGTAACACTTACTCTCCTGAATACAGCCTACAGTTCCACCAAGCGTGGCATGCATGTGAGCGAGGGTCCCCCAACCCCGCCCCACTGCAGAAGGCGTAGAAATGAAAGCGGATCGTTGTAAGCTTTGGATCCGCCAAATGGGACTTAGCACAGCGTCGTCTCCTGCGTGTTGATTATCAACTTGCTTGGGGGATCTCAGGCTCTTGCCTGACCTTGGCATGAGGTCTGGCAAATTTGGCTTTCTGGGTGTAGAATTGATCGTTTCAGAAACAAAGCCATTGAGACAGAGTTAAGGAGAGTCCTCTATTCACGGATGAAAGGAGCTCATTGTATAAAATTGGTGTGACCTGGACCCCCTTCCTCTGGCCCCCTCCTGTTGTTCCCTTCCCCCACAGCTGGGGCTTTGTAAGGGTCTCGCAGGATGTTCTATCCCAGGCCATACTTTCTTCCCATCTTCCTGTCTCTGAGGCTGCCCCGAACAGAAGGAGAGCTGGGCTTGGAGCCCCTTTGCACGTTTTTGGCTCCTCGGGCCAACTCTGTTGTCGTGGGTGATGAGAGCACTTCCTTCCGAGAGAGCTAGGAGAAAAACAGCCAGGCTGTTCACAGGCAGCTGCCCAAGGCGGCTGTGCAGGAAGAGAAAACAGTGGGTGCTAAGAACCTCTTCCTGTTCTGCCTTCTGCACGGGCACCTCCCTTCTGGGTCACGGCCCTGAAAAGTCAAGACTGTTGAGCTAGAGGAAGATGGTCCTGTGTGTATTAACCTCAGTGCTCAACTTCCTGATGGATTATTTGAGTTTTTCTGTTTCTGCTGTGAAGTCACGGGATCCCGAATTTTTCTTCTTGAGGTTGGCGGGTGAGGGTTGGAGTCATGTTCATGGGGTAACATGGTACCTTCCTTTGTGGGGGAGGGGTAAGGTATGGTGGTGAACAGATAGGAAGGTCATAAACTTAGATGCTTTCAGGGCTCAGCCCAGGTGGGCAGGGTGGGGTTGTGGCAAACAGAAGGGGATGTGCCTGCCTTAAGTGGACCTGCCTACCCAGTGGGTCAGATCTTTCCACATTTCACGAAAAGCCACAAATCAGAATATCATGATTTCACCCTAAATTTTAAATGCTGGCACCTAATTTTAAAAAAAGTATTGTTCAAAAATTAGCCAGGCTTAGTAGCATGTGCCTGTAATCCCAGCTCCTCAGGAGTCTGAGGCAGGAGAATCGCTTGAACCCGGGAGGTGGAGGTTGCAGTGAGCCGAGATCACGCCACTGCACTCTAGCTTGCGTGACAAGCAAAACTCCATCTAAAAAAAAAAAAAAAAAAAGAAGTATTTTTGTGCACCATGCAGATCACACCATACCACATCCAAGCATTTTGGTTACCTTTTTTTCTTTTTTTTTTTAAACCTCTCTGAAGATATTAAGGTTAAATGGGCCTGGCTCTGTGGCTTTCAACCAAGTCTTTGAAACTCTCTGAGCCTCAGTTTCCTCCTATATAAATTAGGAACAGTACTACAGGGTATTCATAATCCAGGAACAAGGAAATACTTAATGTCATCAAGAGAAAAAGCAAACTGGGCACACTGACTCTTGCCTGCAATTCCAGCAATTCGGGAGGCCAAGGCAGTAGGATCACTTGAGACCAGGAGTTCAAGACCAGCCTGGGCAACATAGGAAGACCCCATCTCTACAAAAAATGAAATATTAGCCAGGCGTGGTGGCACAGGCCTGTAGTCCCAGCTACTTGGGAGGGTGAGGTGGAAGGATTGCTTGAGCCCAGAAGTTCAAGGCTGTGGTGAGCCATGATTACATCACTGCACTCCAATCTGGGCAGCAGAGCAAGACCCTGTCGTTTTTTTTTTTTAAAGTAAAAACCAAAAAAAAAAAAAAAATCTATCTATCCAGTCTTTATGGCCTTCTGGGAACAGCCACTTCATGAGGATAGAATGTGGGTTTATTGAAGTAATGCTCATAAATGGTGAATTATGGTATCTCATAAGGACTTAACCAATGATAGCGGTCTACTGGGCGCTGTCATCAAGGCTGTCATCTTCATTGTCACTATCGTTTCATTAAGAAATATTAGAGGAGGTTGAGGGGACAGGCTGCAGGCAGAGTCCCTCCCCTGCTGAAGCTTTCTGACTCCATCCTGACTCTAAATGTAGAAGGCCCATCCGTCCCCTGCAGGGCCACCTTCCAGCCAGGTGTTCTCATCGTCTCTCTTCTGTCCTAGGAAGGCAGCTCTACATCCCGAGCTGTAGCCTGGGACTGCAAAGCTCTCCACTCCCCACCTCCTGGGATCGTTTTTTCCGCCCCCCGTGGTTTGTGTCGGCAGTTCTGTGTGTGGCCTCTTGGAGTCATTCCAGACGCGAAGCACTGCTGAATCACAGTTTTCCTGTATCTTCGACAATAGATGTCCTGGTCAGAGGCTCTTGTGAAGGAGCAAAAGAGGAGGAAGTGAAGAAAAGCAGGGAGGGATGTGCATAGAAATTTATTTTGGCAAAATGGGATGAACTCCAGATTTGGTATCAAAAAACTGACATTCTACACTGAATTTTAATCCAAACTGTGTGTGGCCCTTAGGAAATAGGCCTTTCCTCCTGGATCTCCCATGCCTCACCAAACAGTGATGGGTTTGATTCAGGTCAGGGACGGACATCTAGGGAAACTGGAATCTATTAATAATATCTGCTCCTCGGGCCGTATTGAGAATTTGAGGCCAGGTGGACTGCTTAGTAACAGCTGCCTCGGGCAACTTATTGTGAATTCGCTGCATAACTGGTCTGCACCTCTAAGTGCTTTTCTTGAACTCACGATTTTGGATTCTGGAGCTCAAATATGAACTATTTTCCTGTGGAACAGAGATCTCACCCAGCAGTCCCAGAAGTCACATAGTATCATTGGAACTCCAGACAATGTCTGTGGGACACTTGGCAGTATTGGTTCCAGTTGGGCCACCTGCCATCTTGGTGACCACAGCAAGTGGGTGCAAAATTGATAGGTGCTGCGGCCTGTGCCTGGGAAAAGCTAATTATCGGGATGAATTATAGATGTGGCGTGTGTTCCCAGCTCCAGGAGGATGTGTGTTCAAACACAGCCTGGGTGGCCACCTTTAGAAAGATTTGCGGCATGGTGGGATTTAGCCAGCACTTCCTGTCTGGGCCATGTCGGGTAACGGCTGCCTTCTTGGCACGTGGCAGGTCTTGTTTATGGTCTGAGATGCCTCTGAGCTGTGAAAAGCAAAACACTGTAAAGTGTCGCCAATTGTCTTCTAAGAGGAACTAACATTGGTGGCCCACCCACTCTGTCAGGACTGAGCCGGGCTCTGGTAGAACATCTCAGTCAGTGCTCCACAATGAGTGTGAGAGGATCATGGTGATGATTATTACCATTAACCACTGGAAAAAGCAAAGTAGTCGACCTGAAGACTCGCAGCAAGGAAATGAGAACATCTAGTATGAGGAGCATCTGATCCAATTCAGTGCTCCTTATGGCTTCTTAGTGCCAGATGCTGATAGAACCAGGAACTGTGGTTTAATGATTCCAGTTCAAGATGTGGTTGTACCACTGGGAAGCAGGGTAGCTTAGTGGTCCAAAAGGATGCCCTGTTTCAAATCCTGGCTTCACCACCCACTAATGAATGAGTTTGAAAAAATTACTTCTCCTTTGAGCCTCAATTACACCATCTGTAAAATGGGGCTTTTGGTGCCTGCCTCCTGGAGTTCTTGTAAGGTTGGTTTGTTTGTTTGTTTGTTTGTTTTAAGACACGGTCCCAGTCTGTCACCCAGGCTGGAGTGCAGTGGCACTATCTTGGCTCACTGCAGCCTCTGCCGCCAGGGTTCAAGCTGTTCTCGTGCCTCAGCCTCCTGGGTAGCTGGGACTACAGGTATGCACCAACACGCCCAGCTAAGTTTTATATTTTTAGTAGAGATGGGGTTTCACCATATTGGTCAGGCCAGTCTCGACCTCCTGACCGCAAGTGATCCGTCAGCCTTGGCCTCCACGGATTACAGGCTTGAGCCACAACACCCAGACAGTTGTAAGAATTAAATAAGATAATATTTACAAACCCCTTACAGTAATACCTGGCATTCAGTGTGAGAACAATGTTAGCTGGTATTTTGATTATTGTCAATATTGACTAGCTATGTGACCTTAGGCAATTTGCATTAATATGGGGGTGATAAATTCTGTTGCTTGCAGTAGCCAGGCCAGCTACTCAGTCTGGAGCTGTTTTCTTGCAAGAATACACATCCAGTGTTGCTAAATCTTCTGTTCTTAAAGGAGACGTGAGAAATCTAGATTTGCATGTGAAGTATCCTGGTTTTAAAACATTGGCAATGAATGATTTCAAGTATTTCATCAAGGCTGCAGGCCAAAAAAAAAAAAAAAAAGCAAACCAGCTTGAAGCATCCACAGGCCACCAGTTGGGCATTCTTGTCTTAACACTCTGTAGCTCAAGCCTCTAATCTTTTCAGGTAGGTTTCTTCAAAACCTTGTAATTCTAAGATGGTAATTCTGTGTACTTTTTAAAGAATTACAAAACCTCTTGAGGCACACACAGAACAAAGTATTAAATACAGGAGTTTAGATTTTTGATAACCATTTGTGCTCAAGGATACACATACCAAGCTGGAGAAGCATTAAGATAATTCCCAAGTTTCCATGAGTCTGTGGTTTCTCTATCTTCCAAGGCTGTGGGTGATGAATTGCCATCTCCAAGGGCCTAAGCTTCATTTTAAGGTTCTACTGCTCATTTCTGGGTCCTGGGCTAAAAAAATGTAGAATGAAAGTAGGATAGCAGAAAGACCAGCTTTTTAAGCTTTTAATACAAAAGAGAGAAAGAGAGCGCGCAATACACCCAGTTTTAACTGCCAACGTTTCTGTAAAACATTGAGAATCCCCTTGTTCTCTCTGTGGGGTTTCTGTTTTCTCCCCTGAGCCCTATTTGAAGGTGAGTTCACATTTTCCAACAAGGTGAGGGCTGTGTGATTCTGGCCTGCATTCACATTCCAAATGCAGTCTTTTTTAGAGAACAAGGACACCTCTGTATCACTGGCATCCCTCCCTCATCACCCCATGCCGCCTGCCCTGCACGTGCCCAGCCTTCGTCTTAGGAGCCAGTGTGAAATCCCATGGGGACATCTGAAGAGAAAGCCCCGTTATGCAACACCTTGGTTGCTGCAATGAGACCCTAAGAAGGAGGAGTTGAAAAAGAGTCCCACTTCCCTGAGGAGGAAATGCTGGAAAGTGGAGGGTGGTAGCCAGGTTTTTTAGGGCAAGGCAAATCTCTTCACCAAAGTGGGGAGAAGGGAACACTTTGCACCCGTCCTGGAAATTTCTTGGGGGTGCAGAGCGTGAACACCAACGCTCTTAAGAGTTTCACGCATGCATCCGACACTTGATGGCTGGCTGGGGATCAGAGGCAGGAATCGTATTCTTTGTCAGTTTGGAAGCTTTTTCAGTCTTGCATTACACATGGTAGAGTTTAGGTATCATGTAAAGTCTCTCCGGTTCAGCGTACGTAAGAATCCCCCAAGGGTGTTTCATAACAATGTAGATTCCTTGGACCCTTGCCCAGAGATTCTGATTCAGTAAGTTCATACTTTTGATTAACACCAGGATATCGGTTAAAGGACTAGTTTCTGGCAACTTACAAACTTGCTTACTGCTCCTGGCTCCATTCCTGATTAGCCCTGTGTTTTTGAGCAAATTATTCTCTGAGAGTATCAGTTATCTGATCTATAAAATGGGGATCATGATACCTCCCTTGGCAGCGTTGCAGGAATTTCGTATGCTTGGCATAAAGTAAGCATTCAAAACGAATTAGCTAAATTTGCTCAGTTCACTGCCGTCACGTGACATAGGTTGCACTCGTATCTACGGTAACTTGCAGTTCAGAAGACTTGTGGTTTAGTAGGGTTGAGTATAGAGGGATATGTCTCAGCCTTTGTAAGCCTGGAGGAAGAAATCAAAGAGAAGATCATTTCTGAGGTTGTAACTATGTACAGTATTTATTTTTATTTAATGTTC
Organism: Homo sapiens; assembly: GCF_000001405.40. Taxonomy (NCBI): domain Eukaryota; kingdom Metazoa; phylum Chordata; class Mammalia; order Primates; family Hominidae; genus Homo; species Homo sapiens. The sequence goes on along the minus strand of NW_019805500.1, from coordinate 365,683 downwards.
ACGACAACTCATGATGTCAGTGGTATGCTGTGTTCAAGACAAAGAGGAGCCTATCTTAGGGTTTCCTGGGACAGTCTGGGTTTATACCTGTTAAGCTTGTATAATTATTAATAGTGTCCCTTACAAAAAGGTCCCAGAAAATCTGTTTTCCACTTTGTTACAGTAGCTCTGTTGGCAAGTATAATCCTACCTGTTTACGTGGGGGTCAGTGAGAAAAATAAAGCTCACAGAAGCTAAGGACTTTGCCCAAGGTCGCAAGTGGTGCTAGGTGGTTGTTATGGACTGAATTGTACCCCCACCCTAATTTCATATGTTGAAACCCTTCCTCCCCCAATACCTCAAAATGTGACTATTTGGAGATAAGGCCTTTACTGAGGTGATTGCATTAAATTAATGGGGCCCTCATCCAATCTGACTGGTTTGTTTATAAGAAAAGGAAATTTGAGCCAGGCCTGGTGGCTCATGCCTTTAATCCCAGCACTTTGGGAGGGTGAGGCAGGCAGATCACCTGAGGTCAGGAGTTCGAGACCAGCCTGGCCAACACGGCAAAAGCCCATCTCTACTAAAAATACAAAAATTAGCCTGGCATGATGGTGCACAGCTGTAATCCCGGCACTTTGGGAGGCTGAAGCAGGTGGATCACTTGAGGTCAGGAGTTCAAGACCAGCCTGGCTAACATGGTGAAACCCCATCTCTACTAAAAATATTCTAAAAAATTAGCTGGGCGTGGTGGCAACCACTTGTAATCCCAGCTACTCGGGAGGCTGAGGCAGGGGAATCGCTTGAACCCAGGAGGCGGAGGTTGCAGTGAGCTTGGATTGTGCCACTGCACTGCAGTCTGGGCCACAGAATGAGACTCCATTTCTGGCACCCCAAAAAGAAGAGGAAATTTTGACACATAGATACCCGGGATGCATAGAGAAAAGGCTGTGTGAGGAAACAGTGAGAAGGCCACCATCTCTACAGGCTAGGAGGAGAATCAGACCTCAGAAGCCAGACCTGCAGACACCTTGACCTTGGACTTTCAACCTCCAGAACTGTGAAAGGATAAATCTCTGTTGTTTAAGCCACCTCACCTGTGTATTATTATAGCAGCCCTAGCAAATGAATACAGTGGTTATGTATGGTTTGAACTCTGGGGCGACCCCTAAACCTGCCCTCTTTTCCCACTGAATAATTCATCTTTGTCCTGCACTACTAGGCCTGCAGCTAAGTGACAGTGTCCCTTTAGGTTTCTGGCTGGTCATTCAGACTTGGCTAGAGCTGGACATTCTCCAGCAGGCTCGAGTCATGAGTGAGTTTTCATTCGCTGTGATCTGCAATCCCAAGAAGAGTTTCTTAGATTTTCCAAGTTATCTGGTGGTTGGATGATGAGTGACAGTGAGACACCATCTTTTGATGGTGGAAGATTCCCAGTTCTGGCCTTAATTAGAGGGCTCTTGGCGGAGAGAAGGCACCAAGCCAGCCTTCTGAAGTGTTCCCTGGGAGCGTCTGTGGAAGAAGGTAGCATGTAAATGTCCATTGTCTATGTTGTTGATTTGGTGGGCTTCACGGAGATACCTGGCTCTGAAGGCGTGAGTTCCAGTGTCATTATCTCTACACCAATGTCATTGCCTAACACCAAAGAACAAGCACTGTCTTCTGAATGTCCTCAAAGCAAAGGAAGAGAACATGCTTTCCAATGGCTGAGGCTTAGCTCAGGGCTCAGAATCCGCCAGGAGAGCCAGATAGGTTTGATGTATGTGTGGAATGATAACGAACAAAGTCCTCCTCCTCTCTCTACTTTCTTTGTTGGGGCTTAATTGCTTGTTAAAATTAAGCCTTTGGCCTTGAGCCTGGCTTCTTGGTCTTACAAGCAAGACTTTTGAGGTGTAGACAAGTTTCATTGCTCTAAGACCTGTAATCAGGCTCCTGCCTCTTATTTAAACAGTTACCTTTGGGAATAGCAGTGTACACAGAGTCACTTTAAACTCATTTCTGTCTCCCTCATGGTGCCTGCCACGCATAGAGCTAGCTACTGAATCGGAACTTAGTAAACACGTGTGGATTGATTTAGCTAACTTTACATGGTTCCTTGCTGTGGCAAAGTGACTGTTTTGTTTCTAGTCATGATATGTGTGCTAATTTCTATCAACCATGTCCGCTACCTTTTTAAAAAAGACAGATGGTAAAAAAAAAAAGATTACGGTATTTGTTAAGGTGGTACTGCTTATTTGCTGTAAGTATTCTTGATTTTGATAGACATTATCCAAAAATTGTAGGATTATTTTGTCTAAAGTAATAATATATTTTCCAGCAGAGCTCTTGTGAAAGAGTGGAACCCAGTGTTCTCCAGTGTAAGATGCTGGGATCAGATCCAGGCTTTCAACAGCATCTGTGTGACTCGGACAGGTTACCAGTCTCTCTGGTCATCAGTTTCTCCATCTCTATACTAATGATAGTGATAATGATAGTATCTACCTCTTAGGGTTATTACAGGGGTAAACGAAATGATACACGCATAGAAGTTAAGCCCAGTGCCTGGAACATAGTGAGAACTTAACAAATGTCATTTATTGCTAGTATTCAACTGTTCAGAACCTCAGTCAAGTAATATGCCCATAGGACAAAGTTAAGAATAAACCAAAGGAATGAAAACTGTATGTATTTTCAGGCAAAAGGATTCTGAGTAATCATTTCCTGTCATGTTGTGTTGGTATCTAAATAATAAATTCAGAAGGACTGGTATATTGGGCACACAGGATTGAAGGCTAATTCAGAGGCATGCAAGATCCTGATGGTCACTTATTTCCTTGCTTGATGTAATAATAGAGCTAGCACACAGGGCCTGGCACCTAGGAGGCCCTCTATAAATGATCGCTGTTAGCTGTAGTAATTTCAGGTTCCTGGGATGCATTTGCAGACTTAGAGAAAGAGCATGTATTATTTAGGTTCTGAGTCTGTGAGTGTTTGTGACAACACTTTTTGATCTATCGAGGTCAGTGTTTAGAAAGTATATCAGTTACTGCCACAATAATGCTGTATAACAAATGACTTCAAAACTCAGTGGCTTGAAACAACAAGCATATATTTTCTCTGTGTTGGCAGGGGGTCGGCTGATCTAGGCGGGGCGTGGCTGCACGCTGTAGATTGTGTACAGGTTTGTTTCACGTGTCTGGCATCCTCCTTGGACCAGCAAGGTACTGGGGACATGATCTCTTGTGGCAATGGCAAAAACACAGTAGGCCACACTTGATCACCTAAGCATATTTCAAGCTTCTGCTTATGCCACATCTACTAACCTCCCATTGGGCAAAGCAGTCAAATGGGCAAACCCAAGCTTAAGGGCTGCAGAAGCACACAGTAAAGAACTGTCGAGTCACATGACCAGAGGGCATGGATCTAGGAGCTGTGACGAATGAGGGCCACCAATTCAGTGCACCTGGTTCCCCATTTGACTTCCCCAACTGAGCCATTGCAATAGATGATAGGAAAGGGCTTTCCTTGTTGTAGGCGGTTCCATGGTTACTGGTACCGGCATTAAGATTCTAAAAGCACTCCACTGTAGCGTGCACGCACATTGCAAATTCCCCTTTGGTCTCCAGGAGGCTTTCCTCTGATGGACAGGAATTTACTCTACTGTAAACCAAAGAGTCCCAATTTAGACAGATAGGATGGATTAGGCAGACAGCATCATTGACCTGGTTCCACTTCGTTAGCCTTTCCAATTAAGGAGGATGTTGCTGAAAGCGAGACCTCACAGATATATAGTCATACCTTGAATCCTCTGGACTGAGGCTCTTTAGGGAGAGTCTTCCATTTCCAGTGTGTGCAGAGGGAGGAGAGCATAATGATGCTGGCAAGTGAAACCCAAGTATTAATGATGTGGCCCCTTGTGAGGACTTTATCTTCTTCCCAGTTAGTTAATGAAGATGCTAAATAGATAGCATTTGTGCTTTTGCTTTCCAGAATCTTCTTAATCTTGGATCCCTGACCATGCACTGATAAGGTCTCTGATTTTGGAACATCAAATAGAGAGCTGATGCTTCACTGTGTCTAGAGATCAGGCTTTTGATTTTGTCAACACAGTTGACAGAGATTTCCTGTGACTTCCCAAGGAAAGTCTTGTCCATTGGAGCTGCTTTTAGGGGTCAGGATGGCATTCTCCCCTCTTCAACCTCTTGGAGATTCTAAGCAATGAAGCATTAAGTCTCAGACAATAGCCAAATGGTCTGTGAAGTACAGCTTAATTAATCTGGGCATGCACCCAACACCCCAGTCTGGTGCTTTGCTAGCACTTGGCTTGGAGATTGAGGCTAATTTTGAGGCTGAGATGCAGCTTCTTATCTTATAATCAAAATCGAGGTGGTAAGATCTGAATGGACAGACAGACAGACACAGACTACTCTGACCTGAACAGCAGATGTTGCATGCTCTCGCCCACTAAGCTCGTACCAGGTCTGACTCATGCTGCCACCCACAGACCAGGAGGATGGTCTTGCTTCCCAAAGACAAAAATGGGTCCTGCCCCAACACAGGGAAACAGGAAGTACAGAGTAGACTCTTTCTGCATGCGAGTGATACAAAACCTGCCTGATCAAAAGAAAGTTGCTCTATGAATGTCGGGTTTTACCAATCCTAGCTGCCACTTCTTCACCCCTGGGAAGGAATCAGTAAGGATTTGAAGAGACAGGCCCAAAACAGCTCCTTCATGACTTCCCCAGATTCCTTTATAGGTCAAGGCTGCAATGTGGGGAGACGGGGAGAACATATTCCCCTCCATGTTTTCTTGGGTATGAGGAAGACTCAATGCCTGGGGGAATGTGAGAATTAGAGTGGGATGTTCTCTTGGCAGTTTCCTTTCAGTTACACCAATGGAGAATTACTGGGAGTTGGACTCAGAATTGGAGTTGGGGGACGACGAATTCCTCTTCCTAAAGGACAGAGCTGAGCAGAGCTCACCGTATTTCTGAGATCGTGCCTCTTACACTCCTCAGAATTGGGCATCATTACAAAGATACCGTAGAACAGTCATCAAGACAGTGAATGGCAGCTCACCTAGAGAAGGGGTTTAGAAAGTTCCAATTTCCCTGCATTTCCTTCTTGCTCACAGTATGGGACAATGGGCTGGTGCTAATTTGCATGGCTTCCTAAAACCCCGTGGTGGAAAATCTGCTAAGACAAAGCAAAGCTTCAAACTGGATGTGTACTTCAGGGCCCTAAAATCATGCCCATTCTCTATCAGAGGAAGCTTGAGGTTGTTTTTCCCAGAATTATAAATCCAAGATGATTAAGTTCAGAGCAGACGTGGTATAGACAGAAATAGCCTTCATGTGCTGGGTTTCCTGTTTTCTTTGGAAACCACTCACTGGACACCACCAACTCCTCCCATCAGTCTTTTCCTCCTCCTGTACCCTCCCTGTCTCTCCTCCAACCCAAAGGGTTCATGCTTAATGACCCGAGACAGTACCACCAAGCATTCCCAGTCAATCGGCTTTTGTACAGAGTGAATGAATAGGACATTTCTCTGGCCTTCTCTATCCTAAAAAAAGACCTTCCCCAGACCATGGAATGTGCTCCTCAAACCAGAAATTAAGCTGCTCGCTCTCATTCCTTCCCTTGTTCTTTCCAAGATCAGACACAAATTGATGATGGCCTTGTTCCTAGTCAGGACTTTATATTCTTTCTGGTTTATTCCTAATCCTCTTACGGAGCCAAACTCTCCTTATAGAGGGTTTGGATACACGTTGAGCTCTTTGGCAAGGGTGCCTTGTTTCTTTTTTCTTTACATTTTGTTGTTTTGTGTGATCTCCATGTGGGCATTTCCTTCATAAAAACTTGAGCCTCTTTCATCACTTGTGCGTGAGAGGAAGTGTTGGGGCGGCCTGCAGACTGGGCCAAGCTGTCCTGATGTCTCTGTAGAATGGAGGACACAGGTTGGGCTGCCCTCCCCGTGGGGTGGCTTGACCACTGGGGAAATCAAGCTTTGTTTGAAAATGATGCTGGGAGCTTGGCGTGGTGGCTCATGCTTATAATCCCAGCACGTTGGGTGGCCGAAGTGGGAGGATCATTGAGGCCAAAGTGTTGGAGAACAGCCTGGGAAACATAGCGAGACCCCATCTCTACAAAAATAATTTTTTAAAAAAGCCTGGCATGATAGTGCATGCCTGTAGTCATAGCTACTTGGGAGGCTGAGGTGGGAGGATCACTTGAGCCCTGGAGGTCGAGGCTGCAGTGAGTGAGCTATGATCATGCCACTGCTCTCCAGCCTGGGCAACAAAGCGAGACCCTGTCTCTTAAAAAAAAAAAAAAAGGAAAGAAAGAAAAAGATGCTGGGGTAGTAAGTTAACTTTTTTTCACTCCTCACGTGCATTTTCTCCTTTCATCCTACAGGATCCACACCCAAGTCCGCTCATCACCCTGGAGACTCAGGTAAGTATCTTTCCTGTCTTGGCCACTTATCTCAGCCTTAGTATTCCAGCTCTCAAGGGGACTTGTCCCGTGGCTCTGAAAGGCTGGACAGGCCCATGGCTGCCCCTGGTCCCATTTGGATGTGTGTGTGCCTGCACATGTATGTATACACACTGGCATATAGTGTACACGTGTGTGCAATGGTGTGGGTGTGCATGGGTGCACATTCGCACCCAGGTGTCTGGTGCCCCTCCCACCTGTGGCGAGAACCATAATCATTTCTTTTGAGTTTTCGTCTGTCCTTCGCTCCTGCCCAACCATCATGCGGAGGTTCATGCAAAGGAGAGAGGAGACAGAGGAGAGCCATGAAGTGGGAAGATGCTACTCTTTGATGCCTGAACTTGGAGGACTTTTATTCCTTGGCAGTGAGGGCAGCATATGGAAGGAAGTTGCACCCTTTCATCTGCTTGCGTGTTAGGCCATTCTGAGGAATTGTGATTGCAGTGGCATTTCCGTGTGGGGAGGAGGATGACCAGCGGGTCTTGTAAGGGAGGGCACGGCCCTGACTGTCTGCTTTCTGCCTTCCTGGGAGCTAGGACAGTGCAGCAGCTATGAGTATAGGCCTTGGAGTTCAACAGAGCCAGGTGGAATTCCACCTCTGTGTCTTCTAGCCCTGCAGTGTTCATGGGGCCACATAATGTCTAAGCCAGTGTCTTCGCATCTGAAACGTCATCCCAGTGATAGTGCCCACCTTGCAGAGTTGTGGTTGAGGGTCACAGGAAATGATGTTTATAAAGTCCGGGGTACGTGCTAAGTGCTTGTGAGTGGTAGCGTTTTTTTTTTTTTTTTTTTTTTTTTTTGAGACCGAGTCTCTGTTGCCCAGGCTGGAGTGCAGTGGCATGATCTCGGCTTACTGCAAGCTCTGCCTCCCGGGTTCACGCCATTCTTCTGTCTCAGCCTCCCCAGCAGCTGGGACTACAGGCGCACGCTGCCACGCCCGGCTAATTTTTTAATATTTTTTCTAGAGACGAGGTTTCACCGTGTTAGCCAGGATGGTCTTGATCTCCTGACCTTGTGATCCGCTCACCTTGGCCTCCCAAAGTGCTGGGATTACAGGCATGAGCCACTGCGTCCGGCAAGTGGCAGCTTTTTAAACCAATAGAACTGTTACTTTTCCTGCTGGATCTGAAGGGGACGTTTCTTATCTTTGGATTAATCATTTCCTTAGCTCTTTGGGTTTGGCTGACAGTAAAGAGAGTAGGCAGACAGGACAGGCCTCGTTCAGAGCCCCACAGTGAATAGCTTGCAAGTGTCAGACACAGTCAAACCTGTTCGAACGTTTCAAGGCTGAATGACAGCTCAGCGATTTCAAGGGTTTCTGGGGTGGACTGGAAAAGACCACCTGCTCCCCTGGCCTTTGCCTCCTCCACCTTGGGTCCTTGCCCTCTCCTTGGCATCTCTGCTTGGGTTCTCCTAAGAGGAATGAGGAGACCTTCCTTGCTTCCTCCCTGATGGGGAAGGCCAGCAGATCTTCACAGTTTCCTTGTGCTTTTCTGTCCTTGCATTCTCTGGCACACAGGTATAGCCACGGGGGCCCCAGGGCTGACCAGGCGCCAGGGCCGGCAGGGAAGTATAGAAGGTGCAGCTCTGAGGAGGAAAAGGATTCGGTTTCCTCTGCCTGTTTGGCTGTCCTCTGGCTTGGTTTTGTCTGTCCTTATCACCTTGACCACCTTTGCCTTATGTAAATTTCATCTATTCTATAAAGTCACCTAAAAATACATTTTTCCTTAACATAACTCACTTTGCTTTCAGAAATAGACTTACCTTAATCTAATGGTTCTAAACCGGGGGGTGGTTTTGATTCCCAGTGGTTATTTGGCAACGTCTGAAGACATTTGGTGGTGGTCTCATCTGGTTGGGGGGTTTACAACTGGCATCTAGTAGGTGGAGACCCAGGTTGCTGTTAAATATCCTACAACACACAGGCCAGCTCCCCACTGGAAAGAATTATCTGGTCCTGGGCCTGGCACGGTGGCTAACGCCTGTATCCCAGCACTTTGGGGGGCTGAGGTAGGCAGATCACTTGAGGCTAGGAGTTCGAGACCAGCCTGGCCAACATGGTGAAACCCCATCTCTACTGAAAAAAAATACAAAACATAGCCAGGCATGGTAGTATGTGCCTGTAATCCCAGCTACTTGGGAGGCTGAGGCAGGAGAATCACATGGACCCAGGAGGTAGAGGCTGCAGTGAGCCAAGATTGAGCCACTGCACTCCAGCCTGGGTGACAGAGTGAGACTCGGTCTCAAAAAAGAATGATCCAGCCCTAAATACTAATGGTGTTGAGATTGAGAAACACTGTCTCAAGCAATAATATTCATGGAACCACAAGTTTGAAGGGCTAGTTATATATTTTTTTGCACAACATTAAAATAGATATTAAACTGTGAAAATATTGTTCCTGTACGCACCCTCTGATGTCACCTAAACTTCCTATCAGAGATGTGTGTGCTACCCTTTGGGAAACGTGTCTCTACCCAGTCTACCCCAGGGACTATGAGAGAACTTCCACGGTGTGTTTTTAAAATGATGGTCCTTCTTTTCCTTATCCTTCCCCAGAAGGATACCCTATTAAACTTATGAAAACCCATGGGCGAACATCTGTGTCCGGAACTCTGGAAGTCAAATCTTATCTCCTGGGAGTGGAACAGCAGAATCCCTGGATGGTTCTGTCTTTGACCTTCCTGTATCCTTCACTCTGGACACCACCCCATCAGCCCTTCAAAACCCTCATGGGAAAGAGGAGTTGCAGACCAGTGGCTTTGGCCAGCACCTGAGGCTTCCAGCAGCAGCTCCTTACACAGTGGCGACTCTTAAAGTCCAATCTGTTAGCCCAAGGGACCTGAACCTCCATCTGCAACCAGCAATGGCACAAGGTAGACTCTCAGCATTTGTGCTATGCCATTGGGGAAGAGCTTCAATTTGTCTGCAAACGATGCTCCATCAGTCTCATTTGGTTCCCTGTCTTTGGGGAGCCTGGGAATATTGTTCTCGCTCCCCGAGTTCTGATTTCCCATGTTAAAGAGATGTTGGAACCCAACCAAAGTGCAAATGTTTCTTTGTGACTGTTGGCACAAGCCCGTGGCCAGATCTGACTTTGTGCTGGCCTCAGCCCATTGTGAGGTGAATGATGGGATCCTGTTCAGCTGCCTGCAGGCAGGTCAGACAAGGGGGTCAGGTCCCTTTCTGGCAGGAAGTAGTGCCTCAAATGTTACCCATATGCCATGAACAAGATGGCAGATGTGGCCAAGCTTGGAAGAATTAACTCTGCAGAGGTTAGGTGACAGATGTACCCTGAGCCCTGGGTCAGTTCCCGCTTTTCTCCCAGTGCACTTGGCTTCTAAGGACAGCATCGCCTGCTCCATCTTGAGCCCAGCTGTCACAGGTTAGCCTGCCTGTTAGATTTCACTGAGAGCTGTGTCCTTGCACAATGCATCAGCCGCTTTGCTTGTCCAAGACCTGGCCTGCATTAGAACACGGCTGTGCAGGGGCCCTTTCCTTCACGCATCCCTCTCTCCCTCGTGTGAATTGCAACGGTCCTCAGCCATCGCTTGGTTAATCTGTCCCTGTGCAGCTGTTCTGAGTTGGGGGAGATGGATTGATTGGCTGCTGAGGACTCCTCTAATGCTCTTTACCATTAGCACAGCAGAGCTTTGCATCTGTTGGCATCAGCAGGACTCTCTGCTTAACGGCCAGATTAATAGAATGAGGAAGCCGAGGAAGGTTTAAATCCCTGGTGTCAGCTTCCCGGCTCGGCAGGCTGCCCCTGGGGAGGCACCAAGGAAGCCCTGACTTGCAGTGATGAATGCTCCTCTGGTCTCCAGATGGTGACTGCCAGCGAATCAGGTGACCTAGAAATGAAAAAAAAATAAAAAAGGAGTTCAGTGAGTGGCTAGGTGGCATTATTCTTATCCTCATTCTTACTAACATTTACCATTTGCCAAGAACTGACTTCTCTCATTTTATCCTCAAATGCCATGGTTACACAGGTGTTTGTGTGATACCCGATTTCCACATGAGGTACCTAAGGGTCAGAGAGGCTAAGTAACTTGCCCAGGGTCACACAGGAAGCAGATAGTGTTGATGCACATTAGACTCAGGGTTGCATGACATCAGAATCTTATCTTCTCAACTGCTTTCCTATTTTGCAAGAAAATAAAGTTGCCTTGACTAGTAGAAAGATTTGCTAACATTCAGGCAAAGCTGGAGAAATGGGCTTGGTATATGCAATCCAACGTCCATAGATAGACAGACGGACAGATAGACAGTGCCTAGCACAACTATCCACAGATGTACTTAGATATATGGGTAGAGAGATGCATGATGGGTAGATGGATAGAAAGATTCAATGCTTTGCGCAGTGAGTTATCTTTGACAGTTTGTCAGAGGGCTTGGGGGTAAAATGGTTTAAGCAATGGACCCGAATGAAAATTTATTTTAAAAGAACAAAAGCAAAACATGTCCCTGCGCATCAGTAGTGTTTTGATACATTGGAATCCTTATTACTTTATTCTTTCTTTCTCATCGATCCCCAAGACAGTTGATCATTTCTGAATCCACTCCAACTGGCAAGGTCTCTTGCCATTTAATTCTAGTGTCTCTGCCTCCTCCTGCCCTCACTTCCCCCACCCTCAACAGGCTCTCTGTCAATTAGCTAATGGCCTCCACTCAAACACTGAGATACGTTGGGAGATATAATAAAGGAGCTCTTTTGCCGAGTCAAGATTTGTCAATCTGGGTATTTGTGAACTCAGCTAGAGTTAGAGGGAAGCAGGTCTTCGTTTATGCTGAGATCCCCCTCAGGACCTGGAGATCAAAGGCATCAGGAGGAAAACTCCCAACTTCTGGGTTTTCAAAACCAACCAGATACTTGAATTTCTTTGATCAGCTAACTTGGGTTAGAGGGAAGGGAATGACATTCACATGATTTAAAGATGATGCTGGGGCCATGATGATTGTGAACAGGGCTCCTGTAGCAAATGAGTAGTGATATGAATGGAAGTTAATACTTGAGAAATTGTATCTATGTAAAGGGATTCATCTATTTCCTTATTCCGTAAATCACTATTGGGCCATGTGGAGACAAGGCCTTGTGCTAACTGTGAAAGATACAGCAGAGAAAAACAGAAGTTTCCTTGCCTAGAAAGCATCCATTCTAGGAGAGTCAGATGAAAAAGGTACAAATAGATATTAATAAATGCATCCGTAACTTCAGATAGTAATAAGTGGATGGAAATAAGACAAACATGTTTGTAAGAGAGTGACTGGGTAGAGTGGAGGTGGTTGTAAAATCTCCCAGGTAGTGGGGGAATCTGAGCTGGAGAGATGAGGTTTGAGCTTCTGAGCCCAGGAGGTGAGATGTGCTGAGGAGCTTACAGTTAAAAGTTAACCTTGCAAAAAGACCCAATGACAGAGTTCTGAATTTTTTGCGTAGTATGTCTGGGTTCCTATAAAAATAATGCCAGTTATTCTTAGATTCAATTAAGGCATTTGCTCCTTCAGTGCTTTTGTGTCATTATAATGTCAAGATGAATAAAGAATTACTTTATCAGGCAGGGGAGAAAGAAAAGGACTAAGGAGGTAGGAGAGAAGGAGAGAGGCTTAAATTCAGGGCCATCCAGTGAAACTAATGTCTGATGTGAGCATTTGGAAGGCTGGAGGAACTTTAGATCTTAGCAATGTTATGCTGAGCTGGGGGCTGATGTCTGAAATTTGGCTAATAGCTAATTAGCTGACTGATGTTCAGCTGAACTTAAACTTAAGTATAAACCAGTAGTTCTCAACTAGGTCAATTTTGACCGCCAAGGAGACATCTGACAATCACCTGAGACTTTTTCCTTTTCTTTTTGAGAGAGTCTTGCTCTGTCACTCTGTCAACCAGGCTGGAAGTGCAGTGACTCCATCTCGGTTCACTGCAGCTTCAACCTCCTGGGCTCCCACCTCAGCCTCCCAAGTAGTTGGGACTACAGGTGTATGCTAATTTTTGTAATTTTTGTAGAGGTGGGATTTTGCTATGTTGCCCCGACTGGTCTTGAACTTCTGGGCTCAAGCAGTCCGCCCGCCTCAGCCTCGCAAAGTGCTGGAATTGCAGGCATGAGCCACTGTACCTGGCCCAACATTTGTGATTATTATAACTTCGGGGTGAAGGATGCTACTGGCATCTAGTGGGTAGAGATCAGGGATGCTACTAAACATCCCATAATGCACAGGAAAGCACCCCCCCCCAAAAAAAAAGCCTCAAATGTCAGTAGTGGCAAGGTTAGGAAACCCTGGAGTAACTTCGTTTGTTCTGAGGACAGTTTATTTTACAAAGACACTTCCAGCCATACAATTGCAACTTCCTTGTTTGTTCTCTTGTTTATGTTCAAACATCACCCTTTCTGGTTTAAGTTCAGACTTTAACCAGCTGTAGGCTGTGGTTGTGACACATTCATCTTATTTATTTACTTATTTATTTTTTTTGAGACAGAGTCTTGCTCTGTCACCCAGGCTGGAATGCAATGGTGTGATCTTGGCTCACTGCAACCTCTGCCTCCCAGGTTAAAGCAATTCTCCTGCCTCAGTCTCCTGAGTAGCTGGGATTACAGGCATGTGACACCACACCTGGCTAATTTTTGTATTTTTAGTAGAAATGGAGTTTCACCATGTCGGCCAGGCTGTTCTCGAACTCATGACCTCGTGATCCATCCATCTTGGCCTCCAAAAGTGCTGGGATTACAGGCATGAGCCACATGCCTGGCCGACACATTTATCTTCTAATGTGTCCAGACCTGCATTGACATGACTGACTCTGGGTACACAATGACCCATGATACACAGGAACATGTACATCATGTGTTTAAAAACTGAGTTCTGTTGGATCATTATGGGAGAAGAAACCTCATCAGGAGATGGTTTCCTAAGAGATTTATGGCTTACTAGTGCAAAGAATGTGCAGAGTTAAAAAAAAAATTTTTTTTTCTTAATCCAGCTACTTGGCTGGGGTTTGGAGAGGGGTTTGCCAAGGTCTCTGGACTGATGGAGAAGATCTTTCAAATATCTTGATATTTAGGCCTGGTTCTTCTTTCAGGGATAGACCACAGGCTTGTTTGTGCAAACTTCTTTCTTGTGAAGCTCTTCCCCTCTCCTGGGATTAACACAATTGCTGTCTCCTCTCCGTTCTTCCGGCTCTGGGCTTCGATTAACCTTTTCCTCCACAGAGAGCAGTTTTTGGAGTAATCGGGAAGCTTCTGAATGGCTCTTACCTGAGTCTCCAGCCCATTAATTCTTATGGTGCCCAGCATCTGTTGAGAGGATGGTGAGACTAAATTGCTTCTCAGCCCATATGTTTTTTTCCCCCGTCAGCCTCCTTATGGGAGAAGAACCTCTCTGGGGCAGAGAAGGCTAGTTTGGGGAGGGACCAGATTGCTTTACTATAATCTTTTCCTCTGGCTGTGATTTGCTGCCTCTCTAGTTAGCCCTGGTGGGGCAGGGAGGTGACCAGCCAGACCACTGCCTGGGCAGAGACTTGGCTCAATGGACAGGGAGTCTGGACTTGGAGCATGGAGTCATTCTCAGAGAGGATCTGCGATCTCCTGGCCATGGGATCTTCTCTAGTCTGTATGACTCAGGGTGAATGATGTGATACAACATTCCGCAAATAGCCAGCAAGTTCCCCAAAGTGCAGCCACATGCACCATTTCAAAAAATAGATCGTGTTGAGATCACCATTCCCCCCTTCTTGTTGGGAGTGGACTTCACCGAAGACATTGAAAGTTTGAATTTAAGCCCTTAACTCAGAACACTTAAAATGATCACTCTTGGCTGGGCACGGTGGCTCACGCCTGTAATCCCACCACTTTGGGAGGCCGAGGCAGGCGGATCACGAGGTCAGGAGATTGAGACCATTTTGGCTAACACAGTGAAACCCCGTCTCTACTAAAAATACAAAAAAATTAGCCGGGTGTGGTGGTGGGCGCCTGTAGTCCCAGCTATTTGGGAGGCTGAGGTAGGAGAATGACGTGAACCCGGGAGGCGGAGCTTGCAGTGAGCTGAGATTGCACCACTGCACTCCAGCCTGGGCAACAGAGCGAGACTCCGTCTAAAAAAAAAAGATCACTCTTGTCAATAATGATTACATACACTGAATAGATGTTTCATTGAGATGGGAACTGTACATTGGACATGCATTCATAAATTTAGCACTTTTATGTAACATGAATTAAGCATTTATACTGCATGCGAGTCCCTCTTCTAAATTAAGTTCTTTACATGGATTTGCTCATTTGCATTTCACAACTATCTCTTATGGGAAGTATTACTGTCATCCCCGTTTTACAGATGAGAAACTGAGGCGCAAAGAGGTTAAGTTACTTGCCCAACAGGTAGCAAAGGCAGCAAGATTTGAACCTAGCAGTTTAGCTTTCATATATTGGGAAATAACCCTGGGAGTTACTAACCTTAACCCCATTTTACAGAGGAGCCTGCTAAAGCCAGAGAGACCAAGTTTCCTTTTAAAAGTTGTACGGTCAGTAGGTGATAGAATCTAAACTAGAGCCAGGTGACAAATGAAATCTGTCTCCTTCCCTGCTATGTTACAAGATAGGTAGAGATATCAATAAGATATAGAAGGAGATTAGAGATTAGATCTAGACAGATTTGACACAAAGAATTGACATAGAGATTTGATATCTATTTATTGATACAGAGATTTGATATGTATTAGATGTGGATATAGATTAGATCTTGCTTGCTATAGATCACTCACTTGGCAATCCAGAGCACATGGGCTTGGAAACATCTGTCCATACAGAGTGGATTCTAGGATGAGTAGCTGAAGCCCCAGGCTGTGGCACGGTTTGCCCTGCAGACGGTGAGCACAGCAGTGGCACCTTGAGGAGGCCATACTCACATTTCCCTTCCAGCACACGCATCTTCTCTCAGGGCACCCCCACCGCCATTGACTTCAAGCACTGAGGCAGAAGCCCGTGGTGCTGCCACTGAGCAACAAGGCAGTGTGGCTGGTTTTGCATTGACTTACGAGCCGGAGGCTCAGCGAGGAGGCATCACTAACATTTGGCATAAATAGCACACGCACCAAGATCTTTGAAGCTGAAGCGATCTTCTCCATGGGGTTTTGGGGCAGGGCTGTGCATACTGCGGAGCTTAAAAGAGAAGGTTTCGATGCTAGAATGTTCAGGCTGGGTTTGCAGGTTCTAGTTAATGGAATCATTCAATGAAGAAAATTGCTTTCACAAAAGATAGCAGCACGAGGGAGGTCCAGGTGTATGAGGGATGTAAAAATCCGTAGACAAGGCCCAAACTTGGGGAACGTGAGAGCTGGAGGGGTGATTGCATGTTTTCTATGTGCCTGGGATGTTGCTCAACACTTTATATGCGTGACCTCGTTTCCTCATAACAACATCCCTTGGCGAAGGTGCTCTCACACCCTTCCTTTGCAAGTGAAGACACTGAGGCATGGAGAGGCTCAGTCCCTGGTCCAAGACCACAGAGTTTGGGAGTGGCATTGAGAGGGCCCACACTTAGGCCTCCCTCTTCTGCAGTGCTGGCTGTGACTCCCATACCTTAGGGCCTGTTGGGTTCCATCTTTATACTTGACATGGAAGGAAACCAGGACCCAGAGCTGCTGAACAATTTGCCCAGTCGTTCAGCAGCTCAGTAGCAAACCAGGATTCCTCTGCTGCTCAGGGATAGTGGGAGGTGGAGGCTCAGCGTGGAAGATCCACAGCCCCGCACGCCCTCTTTGTGCCTCCTCCTGCTGTCTCCATGTTGGGTGTTAGCAAGATGAAACATGTTGGGTGTCTTCTTCCCCCGCAAGCCCCAGCCCCAGATCCACTCTCCACCCCTCTCCTTTCTTCTCTGGGCCTCCAGAGGCTAACCTTGATGGGTTTCATCAGCAAGGACTTTTCTTTGCTTTGGCCAAGTAGAGGAACTGGTAGGAGATAGGAAGGTGGGAAGAGATGAGATGAGGGTTTCCATGGGTTGGCTGTGTCTGTACCCCTAGCAAGGCCACAGCTGCTGTGGGGCTGCCCTCTCCCGTGGCTGCAGCTACTGTCTCCGTGGTCCAGGAACACCACTCCCTCCCCTTCAGGCCCCAGGGTGGTGACAGCTCCTGGCTGTGGCCAGCCCTGGTGCATAGCACCTCCCTTGTTAGTTTTCCTTATAAAGAATCTCTTTGTACAGTCTCTTCAGTTTGGAGAGTAACATCTCTTTCCTTCAGGGACCCTGACCGGGCCCCCGCCTCGCTGGCTCAGCACTGCCAATGGGACTTGCCATGGGGAGTCACTGTCATCTTGTGTCATGTTTTGATTAAAGGAGAGGGTCTTCCAGTGGAGGAGAGGTCCCAGAATGGAGACCATGGGACAGTGAAGCTCTTGAAACTGAATGCCCAACGGTGGATTGTACGAGCTCTTTTTTTAGAGAGAAGATCATAGCTGTCATTCTATTTGTGAAAACTGTCCCCCAAAACTGAGCCAAAAATAAACATTCTAAACAGTCTCATGCTAAATAAAGCACCAGAGAAGCCACATGTGTGAGAAGAGATGCCCCAGGCAGGGTCAGCTTGGAGTATTCTCATTCATTCATACTCCTCTGTCTGTCCCAAGTTGGTAAAGGCATTCTTCAGTGGGGAGGGACTAAGGCCTAGGGCATGGTGGGGTGGGGAGAGGCGGGGGACAGGCCTTCAGCTCCTTCCGGTAGCCCCCAGAGCAGACAGACAGACAGAGAAGACAGGTTATTTCTGCCTGCAAGCAAGGCCTTCACAAAATCACTTTTTCTTGGTTCTCGGTCACACCTCCAGGAAATGTTAACTGTCCTAGTATTTGAATCTAATTTCTTAGAAATGCCGCCACCTCTGGTTTGTACCTCTGAGAGCCAACAGGGAGGGCCAGCGCGTAGCTGCTTCTCCAGACCAGGTGGTCCTGCAGGAGGGAGTAGCAGTGGGGCTACCCCGGCTCCCCCCTCAATGTGATCTTCCCCGCTGCCTTCAACTGCCTTTCTGAAAAAGAGTATCTTATTAATAATAACCCCGTTCTCATTTTCTTCTGGGAACTGTAGCTCATTTTTTCCACTGAACAAAAGAGAACTGGGTGGAAAGCTGAAGTTAGCTGTGGTGCAGGTGCCAGATGGGTGGGGTCGAGGACAGAAATGCAGTTTTATTGTCCTGAGAAGGAAAAACCCAGCCAGCTCAATGCTAGAAGAAGGAACTTCCAGCTATAAAACGGGCTCAAAGAGAGTTCTTGGTCAGATGACCAGTCTCCACGTTCACTGGCCCAGTTAGAATCAGGCACCAGTTATGGGAGCAGGAGGTGACTTTCTCATTTCATGGCCCTGGACTCAAAGTTGTGCCATGGGCCTCCTCGTGGCCATCTCTGACCTGCACATGGGTTGCCTTTGGCCTCAGGAAGATTTTTAAATTTTTTAAATTTTTAGAGAGGGGAAGAGTGGGGTTGGAAGATTTTTGAAAAACTGATAGGTAAAACCACTCTGAGCTGCTGGATGTCCATGACTGGTGACCACCAGCTGCCCCTTTGCATGGGGCCTCGGGATGGGGTCACTGGTTCATAGAAGTCCCCACCTGGCCTGCTGCGTTCATTCACCTCAGTGACAGTCCCCTGGGTATTGTTTGTCCTGTCCCCTGCACACTCAGGACTCTGGATCCTCCTAGGGTCTCACCTGCAAAGTGGACAAGGGCAGTCTGGACCTGGTAACCCCAAGCAGCCCCTTGGGGAGGTGAGAACGGGCCTCGTGGGGGCAGGTCATGGTCTATGCAGCAGACCCCCTGGCTCACCACTTAGCTGCTGTGAGACCTTCCACACGCCAGCGATCCCTTTGTGCCTCAGTTTCTTTAAAAAATGGTCAGAGTAGGCCGGGCTCGGTGGCTCACGCCTGTAATCCCAGCACTTTGGGAGGCCAAGGCAGGTGGATCACCTGGGGTCAGGTGTTCAAGACCAGCCTGACCAACATGGCGAGACCCCGTCTTTACTAAAAATACAAAAATTAGCCACGTGTGGTGGCACACGCCTATAATCCCAGCTACTCGGGAGGCTGAGGCAGGAGAATCACTTGAACCCAGGAAATGGAGGTTGCAGTGAGCCGAGATCAAGCCACTGTACTCCACCATGGGTGACAGAGCGAGACTCTCTCTCAAAAATAATAATAATAAATAAAAACGGTTGAAGTAACAGCAGTAGCCACCTCCTAGACTTGTTGGGATGATCAGATGGGTTAACGTGCATTAAGCAACAGAACAGTGCCTGGCACCTAAGCACTTAGTATTACTTTCATAGTCCTACGTTTGAATCCCAACTCTTTCACTTGCTCAGTGCATCACCTTTGAGAAAGGCTTTTAGCTTCTGAGCTTCAGCTTCCCAACTAGTTAAAGCAGCCATGAGGACTGCTAAGAGGATAAGCTGGAGACACCCTCTTGTCACTTGTGAATGCAAGCTGCGTCACCCCCTGCCTTTTCTCTCTTGTGGAAGTAGCAGGCTTGGGGAGCAGAGGCTCTCCAGCCTCCGTGCCTCCATGCACTGCCTCCTGCATCCCTGTGCCACAGAGAGGGCAAAGACTTTGGCATTCTCTGCAGGGATTTGCTTTGTGCCTTCTCTGGAATGTTCCTCCTCCTCTGTTTAGGTAGCTGGTTTCCTCTTTACAGAGAGGGAAGCAGCACGAGTTGAAATACCAGGATGTTTTTGGCAGCCAAACTAGGTGCTTGTCTCAAGAGCAAGCTGGGACATTTTTTGCCTGCGTGCAGTTCAGAGATGAACTGTGTCGTCACCACATGAGTGAAGCCCAGAACTGCCTGGATGACGAGTGGTCAGAGTAGCAGAGGCTGAGACATCTTCTAAGGAAATAAAAACGGGCCAACAGCTGGCCCCTTGGGTCTCACCTCTGCCACCCACAGGCTGAGGAAGCTCCTTTTCTGGCCTGGGGTATGTTCAGACATGGCCAGGTAGTGGACTTGCCTGTGTTAGGCCGGGCGCAGTGGCTCACGCCTATGTATAATCCTAGAACTTTGGGAGGCTGAGGCAGGCAGATCACTTGAGGCCAGGAGTTTGAGACCAGCCTGGCCAACATGGTGAAACACCGTCTCTACTAAAAATATAAAAATTAGCCAAGCGTGGTGGCGCATGCTTGTAGTCCCAGCTACTCGGGAGGCTGAGGCAGGAGAATCACTTGAATCCGGAAGGCAGAGGTTGCAGTGAGCCAAGATCACCACACTGCACTCCAGCTTGGGTGACAGAGACCTGTCTCAAAAAAAAAAAAAGAATCCTTAGACAGTTGGCTGCGAAGACACATCTCAAAAGCCCCAAGGTGTACCAGATCTTATCAACCCCATTCTTTTGCCTCCAGCCTCACTACAGTGCTTAAGGGACTCCCTTCCCCAGGGCAACCTTGTTTACCCTGTGGACTGACTAACCTGGGGTCACTTGATCTGGGCACTACTGACATTTGGGACAGGATTATTCTTTTTTTTTTTTTTTTGAGATGGAGTCTCCTTCTGTCACCCAGGATGGAGTGCAATGGCGTGATCTCGGCTCACTGCAAGCTCCACCTCCCGGGTTCGTGCCATTCTCCTGCCTCAGCCTCCTGAGTAGCTGGGACTACAGGCGCCCGCCACCACGCCCGGCTAATTTTTTTTTTTTTTTTGTATTTTTTAGTAGAGACGGGGTTTCACCGTGTTAGCCAGGATGGTCTCAATCTCCTGACCTCGTGATCCGCCCGCCTTGGCCTCCCAAAGTGCTGGGATTACAGGCACCCGGCCTGGGACAGGATTATTCTTTGTTGTGAGGCTGTTCTCTGCATTGTAGAATGTTTAGCAGCATCTCTGGCATGTACACACTAGATTTTAATGACACTCCCTCCTCCAGTTGTCTCACAAATGTCTCTGGACATTGCCGAATATCTCTGGGGAGCAAAAGCACCCCTGAGCTGAAAACCACGGTCCTAACCAAGTATGGGTAGCAGAGAATGTGTAAAAATCAACACCCGTTGACTGTAATGAGACGGAGCTGGTGACGTTTAGGTGAAGTCTGCTGGTTGAACGCCTCCCTGTAAATGTCATTGGGCTTTAATTTTTTGCTTCCAAGTGACCTCATGTGACCTGGAGTTACAAACAAGATAGCATGTGCCAAGTGTTTCACTGTGGGTGTGATGAGGTACGGAAGAACGCTCTCTTGATTCCTCTTCTCATTTAAAAAGCCAAGCACACTGGGTATGGTGGCTCATGCCTGTAATGCCAACACTTTGGGAAGCCAAGGTGGAAGGATTGCCTGAGGCCAGGAGTTTGAGACTAGCCCGAACAATATAACAAGACCATCTCTACAAAAAAATAAAACATAATCTGCGTGTAGTGGCCCGTGCTTTTAGTCCCAGCTACTCGGGAGGCTGAGGTGGGAGGATCACTTGAGGCCAGGAGATGGAGGTTGCAGTGAGCTGTGATTGCGCTACTGCACTCCAGCCTGGGTGATAGAGCGAGATCCTGTCTCAAATTATTCTTTTTTTTCATTTTAAAACTAAAACGCCAGCACAACCTTGAGGCACAAAAGGATGTAGGGCCTCCAGCTCACATCTGGGGGATGGAGACCCCAAGCCCACCTATGCCTGAGTCGCTGTTGATGCAGCAGGCACTGGGTGCCGTGAAGCAAGAGGAGTTCGTGGCACAATCCCGGAGGCCTGTCCCCTGAAAGACCGCAGGGAGACGGTTTTCAGATCTGCAGTAGTTTGGCTGTCACAGGAGATTGTGGGTTTGCCTGACACCCGAAAATAGTCTGTGGCTTCAGGGGCTGACGTTGTAACATGTTCAACCCTTGCTGGCATTTACTCCCTGGACTCTGTGAAAGGGTCCTGTGTGCAGAGCAGCTGCCTGAGACAACCAGGCTGCTGTGTGCCATGTTGGCCGTGAGGTGTTTACGTGTTACTTTCTTGTTGGGTGTTCCACCCTGTTCTCTGCGGGCAGCTGTGACTGGAAACATGTTTTTTCAAAATTTATGTTTTGTTTTTATAAACATTTTTCTTTAGGGACTCGAAGTTTTTTTCTGGATTTGCTTTTCATCATCGCAATTATCAATAGCATATCATATTATCATGTGATAATATTGATCAGTGTATTCAATAAATATGTGTTGAGTGCCTACTACGTTCTGGATACTGTTTTAGGAGCTGGAGATACAACAGCCAACATGACAGAAATTCTTACTCTTCTGAGCACACATTCTATACAGGTAGTAAATGAGAAACGCATGTGTTTTTTTTTGAGACAGGGTCTCTCTCTGTTGCCCAGGCTGGAGTGCAATGGTGCGATCTCGGCTCACTGCAACCTCCGTCTCCCGGGTTCCAGCGATTCTCCTGCCTCAGCCTCCTGGGTAGCTGGGATTACAGGCACGCGCCACCTCGCCCAACTAATTTTTGTACTTTTAGTAGAGATGGGGTTTCACCATGTTGGCCCGGCTGGTCTCGAACTCCCAACCTCATGGGATCTGCCTGTCTCGGCCTCCCAAAGTGCTGGGATTACAGGCATGAGCCGCCACGCCCAACCGAGAAATGCATGTTGATATGTCATGTCAGATGGCGATGAGAGCATGGGAGAGCAAAGCAGGGGAGGACTGTGGGCTAGGTAAGGCCAGTTGGAGATAGGTTGCCCTTTTCCTTTGGTGGAGACAATTCCATGCAGCAGTGTTTGAGCAAAGATCTCAAAAGCATGAGTGGTGGAGCTCTGCAGAAAGAGGAAGGAACAGGAGCAGCCAGGGCAAAGGCCCTGAGATAGAATGTGGTTGGTGTGTTGGTTGCCAGCAGAGCCTGGTGTGGCTAGAACAGCATGAGTAAGGGAGAGAGGGGCGGTGGAGGTGAAGCTAGATCATTAGAACCTTGGGAAACTTAGAAGGGTCCTTGCTTCACTCCACACTGGGAAGTCTTCAGAGGATTTTAAACAGAGGAATGACATGGCCTTGCCTTGGAAAATGGGATTGGTGGCTGCCCTGCTGAAAATGTACTGTAATGGGTCAAGGGCAAGAACAGGGAGATGGGTGAGGGGGAAGGATGTTGTAATCTGTTAGGGGACATGCAGGGGTGGTTTGGACCAGAGTGTTAATAGTGAAAGCCAAAAGAAGTAGTTTATACCTACTCCGTGTACACAAAAATTAAAAATGAAATAGTTTGATGCTGGATGTGTTCTGAAAGGAGATAGAGCATACGGGACCTACAGAGGATTAATGCAATACAAGCACATGATGAAAACAATTAAATGATTCAAAAGCACATCACTTCCTATACCTATTCTTCAGAGATAACTGCTGTTAATTTTTTTTTTGCTACTACTTCCAGATTTTTCCTTTGCATTTTAACTTGTATTATGTCGGTGCACAAGTTATTGAAGTTTTTGCCATTTAAAAGTAATGGCAAGAACTGCAATTACTTTGTGCACCAATTTAATATGTGTACATGAGTGTATTCATGTGCATATTGGCAGGAACCTGTTTCCTTGAAATGGAACATCATATTTTATGACATGTATTTTCTGAAACATATTTTATGGTAACTTGCTTTTCCTCTCTATCTTATCACTCATCTCCTGTCAGCACATATCATTCTTCGTCGTTATTTTTAACTTTTCTATTTTGTCCAGTTCTGTTTTCAGCACCTGTCACAGTCTCTGGGATGTAGTAGCTGTTCAATAAAGATTAATTAAATGCACTAAATATTTCATCATCTATTTCACTGATTTCCTGTTGGTAGACATTTAGATTGGTTTTTTTCCCCCTATTTTAAACTATGCTGCCTTTAGCCATTCTTGTAAATACACCTTTGCTCGATTGGGTATGTACCTCTGTAGGGTAAGTGACTAGATTTAACATCACTGGCTCAAAGGGTGTGTGCATTTTAAATTTTATATTGTCCTATGAGGAGGTTTCTTCACATCTCCGGTCAAAGCCTTACGTGGTTTCCTGTTTCCTCTTTCAAAGGCACTGGTGATTGTCCATCTTTATAATCTTCGACAAACCAATGAGTAAAAACAGTATCTTGCTGCCTTGATTTGAATTTTAGATATGAGTGGATCTAAGCATTTTTTTACATGGGGTATTTGTGAATTCCATAGCTCCATTTTTCAGGATTCTGGGTCCTAATGTTCTGATTGTCTGCCTCCTTGGAGGAAATGATGGATAATGATGGCTAAAAATTGTTGAGCATTTACTATGTGCCAGCCCCTGTGCTAAGTGCAGTGCATGGATTAACTCAGTCTTCCCATAAGGAAGATTCTCTTTAATCTCCCCATAAACCTGTGTAAGTGAGGTATGGTTGTTATGCCCTCTTTCAAATAGCAAAACTGAGGCACAGAGAGGAAAGGGTTAACTGAGTCACCCAAGGTCATATAGAGAGTGAGTGGGGAGCTGGTCTTTGGACCTACGCAGAACTCTTAACTACCATTCTGTGCAGTTTGTGTAATTGGTAATGGTGGCGATTGTTCTTTAAGATTTAACCATTCTGTGATACCTCGAAAGCAGAAAACCAAAATGTTCCTGGGTAAGGAAATGATCTGAACACAGGCATGGCGCTCTGCCTGAGCTTGGGGCCCCAGCCCATGTGGTGGCAGCTGGAGACAGAGCTCTGTGTTCAGCCTGTGAAAGACAGCTGAGCTGCAGGCACATTCTGTGACATGCCCACGGCCATACAAGGAAATAGTATCACCTCTTTCCACAGTGAGTCACTTTTCCTTCTTAGGGAGTCTCCAGTTGAGCTGCAGAACTGGATCTGGGAAACCAACTGCAGAGGTGTCAACTGTTAGAACTGTAGATTGAATCAGATGGATGGATATATGTTGGATGGAGGGATGGGCGGATGGATAGAGGGATGAGTGGATACAGGATGGGTGGGTGGATGGGTGGGCAGATGGATAGAGAGGTGAGTGGGTAGATAAATGAGTGGATAATAGATGGGTGGACGAATGGGTGGATGGATAGAGGGATGGGTGGATGGATAGAGGGATGGGTGGACAAGGGGTGATGGATGCATCATGGATGGATGTATGATGGAGGGATAGATGATGGATGGAGGATGGATGAATGGATGGATGGATAGGTGATGGATGGATGATGATGGATACACAGATGGAAGGGAGAAAAGACGGAAGGAGGGAAGGAAGGAAGAAGGAAGGAGGGAAAAAAGGATAGATAGATAAAATATCTCAGTTCATTTTTTAAAAATTCCTATTGTATACTAACCACTGCTTTAGGTGCTGGGGATTGGAAGATGAAGGACCTGGTGCCCTGCCACCAGTGAGCTCACTGTCTACAGCAGGATAGTGTCACCTTCTCTGTGTTGTAAATCCCTTCGGAATCTGGTCAAAATTATGCTCCCCTTCTCTGAATATTTTCAAATGCAAAAAAATGCAGAGGATTAAAAAGGAAAGTGGTTATATTGAAGTACAGCCGTCAAAGTATATATAAAAATCAGAAAACTGTGGAGTAATAATACATTTGCTTCTTTATTAACACATTAAAGTAGATTTGGCATCAGGTCTAATAACTACCCTAATTTTGAAGTAATGACAAGTATAAACAATATTTGGAGACATCTGCCACCAAAGCAATGTGACATGAAAATATCTGCAATTTCTGTTGGTGTCAAAGTCTCGGGTGTTGCTAATACTACTGCAGTCTGTTGCCTATATTCATAATTGAAGGTCATGCTAAATTTCAGTTAGAGTTAGTGAAAATAATTATGAATATGTACAAGTTCATCAGCGGGTATGTACAAGTTCGAAGACCCCCAGAATTCTCTCTCCATAGATCCCCAAACTCACAGATTCCAGAAAAATGACTCTGGGCTAGATGGAGAGAGAAATCATAGCAAGATGTTCATCACAGGGTATATACTCACAGAGTCAAGTGGTGCACAGGATTCCACATTATTTAAATGATTTGTGTCACCATCTATCTCTCTCTTTTTTCCCTCCTGACTGTTTATAGTTGAATTTTTGTAAGATAGATTTCTGATGTTTCTCCCTTGCGGAGTGTTATCAGTTCTGTGATCATGTAG
Organism: Homo sapiens; assembly: GCF_000001405.40. NCBI lineage: Eukaryota > Metazoa > Chordata > Mammalia > Primates > Hominidae > Homo > Homo sapiens. The sequence goes on along the minus strand of NW_019805500.1, from coordinate 340,203 downwards.
GAGTGGGCAGTATAACCTAGAACACTCCTGGAAGGCTTCCTGGAGGAGCTGTTGCCCACAGCATGACCTTAACGGGTGAATGATAATCCCAGCACTTTGGGAGGCCGAAGTGGGTGGATCACCTGAAGTCAGGAGTTTAAGACCAGCCTGACCAATATGGTGAAAGCCCGTCTCTACTAAAAATGCAAAAATTAGTTAGTTGTGGTGGTGGGCACCTGTAGTCCCAGCTACTTTGGAAGCTGAGACGGGAGCATTGCTTGAACTAACTGCACTCCAGCCTGGGCAACAGAGCGAGACTCCGTCCCAAAAAAAAGGGTGAATGTGAGCAGGCCACGAATGACCAGGATAAGGGGACACGAAAGACCATTCCCGACAGAGAACAGAGATGAAAATATTGAGCCTTGTCAGAAAATCACAAGAAATACAATATTCATGGAGCACAAGGCTCCTCTTCCTTTATAAAGTCTTTCCAGCCAGCCCGGCAAAGCGTAGGTTTCAACTTCTCCTTTGTTGCAGCCTTTTCCAAAGTGTCAGATGTAAAAGAGAGGAGCAGGCCTTGGCAGGGGATGGGACTGATAAGGCAGGCACAGGCCCAGGTACTGTAGACCACATCAGGGAGCTTCAGATGTATCGTGTAGGTAATGGGGAGCCACTGAAGATGTTTGAGGAGCAGAAGAGCATGGTCCAAGATCAGTTTGAGATGATCACTCTGGCTGCTTCGTGGGGAATGGATTGCAGAAGTGAGCCTAGAGGCAAGGAATCAGAAAAGGGGACATTCAGTTCAGGGGAGTTATGATAAAGGCCTGAACTGGGACAGGGAAAGTGGGAAAGGAAAGGAGGGGACAGATTTGAGGGCCATTAAAATGTAGAACGGGGGCCGGGTGCGGTGGCTCACGCCTATAATCCCAGCACTTTGGGAGGCCGAGGTGGGTGAGGTCAGGAGTTCAAGACCAGCCTGGCCAACATGGCGAAACCCCGTTTCTACTAAAAATACAAAAATTAGCCGGACGTGGTGGCGCATGCCTGTAATCACAGCTACTCGGGAGGCTGAGAAGAATCACTTGAACCCTGGAGACAGAAGCTGGAGTGAGCCGAGATGGCGTCACTGCGCTCCAGCCTGGGTGACAGAGCAAGACTCTGTCTCACAAAAAAAAAAAAAAAGAAAAAGAAAAAATGTGGAACAGACAAAGTAGGACTCAGGAAAAAATAAGATCGGGAATGTGTGAATAGGGCAAGTTTGGAGAGAAGAAGGAATTCTCGGAGACAAGGGTTTGTGGTCCCACAACCTCTTGTGATGTTTTTAAGGAGCAGGTGGCTAGGGAGAGATCTAAGGAACCTCCCACACCATTTTCCCAGGTAACCAAGGTAGGCTTCCCTGGATTTAGCAACGTGAAGTCCTGCACCCAAGGAGCTTGGGCTGAATTGCAATGCTGCAAGTTCAATTAAAGGTTCTCAGGAGGCCGGGCATGGTGGCTCACGCCTGTAATCCTAGCACTTTGGGAGGCTGAGGCTGGCCAATCGCTTGAGCCCTAGAGTTTGAGACCAGCCTGGGCAATGCAGTGAGACCCCCTCTCATCTCTATAAAAAATTAGCTGGGTGTGGTGGCATGTGCTTATAGTTCCAGCTACCTGGGAGGCTGAAGTGGGAGGCTGGCTTGAACCCAGGAGGTGGAGGCTACAATGAGCCATGACTGCACCACTGCACTTTAGCCTGGGTGACAGAGTAAGACCCTGTCTCAAAGAAAAAAGATTCTCAGGAAGTCAGTGTTACCACCTTTGCAGACCACTGTCTCCCTGCACTGAACAAAGGCAAAAAATTGTGAGAATTTAACCACTTAAAAAAACCCAAAAAACCCACCCTGTACTTTGTAGGGATTTATATGCCTTTCTGGGGCTGAATAATATTTTTTTGTTCAGAGCCACAGTTGGGGTTACATACGATCTTACAAAATGCTATGATAGTGTCCACCAAATATTGTGTTGCAGAATATATGCCTTTCTTTTCCAAGGGCTTTTAAAAAAATGGTCACTGGCTTGTGCAGGCCAGGGAGCCCTACTGCACTTCATCTGAGAAAGCGGGTGAGCATTTTTTCTAGGACTGCTTGACACGATCAGGGTTTCTGGCCCCTGAAGAGGCAGCCACTGGCAGGGAGCAAGGCCAGTCGGACACACATACGAAAGTCCCTGTGTTTGGGGATGTCAGCTCGGCTGGGGTAGAAGCCATGGTGGCCCTTCCCTGTGGGATTCGGACGGGCTGGACTTGCCCCAACCAGTGTAGAAGTTGACTTTCTGCAAGGTATGTGTGTCTCTTTGATGGCCTGGGGTGAGCCTAGGAGGAGGAGGTTTTCTCTCTCACACACATGCATGCACACCCACACCTGCATCTGTACACGCATCCATATCCACATCCATACCCACACCCGCAACCACACAGTAGTGAAGGACGGGGCCCCAGAGTCAACATCTTCTCACTGGCCTTTGCCTGCCTGCTGCTTTTTGGCTTCTTTCCTCTCCATCTCCCCTGACCGTGGACAGCTGCATTCAGAACTCACCATCATGGAGGAAATGGGATATTTTATTTCCCTGACAGAAAACAGAATCAGATGACAGTATTGGGAAACACTGGGGAACCGCCGTGGGGGCTTGGATCTGTTGTTTTTCTTGTTAACTAGGAGTTACAAAAACACTATTGTTGCAGACCTTGCTTTGAAAGTATTTCCAAAGTGTGTTAGTCCATGTTAAATCCATGGCACGGAACTGAATGTGCTTCGGTGATTTAATCAGGTAGGTATCAGTTTCCTCTCTGCCTTCCACGCTCTGCCCTCCATCCACCTCCGCACGTTTCTCCATGCTGTGCACACACCTGGGACACCTTTCCTCTTCTTCCTTTACAAAGTCTTGCCAGCCAGCCAGGCAAAGCGTAGGTCTCAACTTCTCTGTTGCAGCCTTTTCCAAAGTGTCACATGCAAACTGGTGACTCACAAGATGATTTTAAGCTATAACTCCACAGACTTTATAGAAATTAATAGCTCTCTGTTTATTTTTCTAGTTACCTTCCATTTATAGCAAATTATACTAGTTTTTCCACTAATTTAGGAGTAATGTTTCCCTTTTAAATTAAGCCATTGAAGTAAAAATATAGATGAGCTGATTTAAAGAGCCCTGAAAAATAAATAAAACAACAGACATTACATGGATAGGGCAAAAAATGGAAAAGTTACTCAATGAATGATTTTTTTTTTTTTTTTTGAGATGGAGTTTTGCTCTCGTTGCCCAGGCTAGAGTGCAATGACGCTATCTCGGCTCACTGCAACTTCTGCCTTCCGGGTTAAAGCGATTCTCCTGCCTCACCCTCCTGAGTAGCTGTGATTGATTACAGGCGCCCGCCACCATGCCCCGCTAATTTTGTATTTTTAGTAGAGATATGGTTTCTCCATGTTGGTCAGGGTGGTCCTGAACTCCTGACCTCAGGTGATCTGCCTGCCTTGGCCTCCCGAAGTGCTGGGATTACACTCGATGAATGATTTTAAAATGGGAAGGCTTCCTGTGTTCTGGGCTGCGCTCTTCTGCAGTTCCTGTGGGAGCATGTGGATAGTAATTCATTCATTTTTCTGATCTCGGTTTTCTCACCAATAAAAGGGGCTGCCTCATATGTTGGTTAACCCTTGTTCCAGGTGGCCAGTAGGTAGTTTTTTTTTTGTTTGTTATTGTTTTTTTGTTTTTTTGAGACAGAGTCTCACTCTGTCGCCCAGGCTGGGTGCAGTGGCGCAATCTCAGCTCACTGCAACGTCCCCGCGTTCAGTTGAGTCTTGTGCCTCAGCCTCCTGAGTAGCTGGGATTAGAGGCACCCGCCACCATGCCCGGCTGATTTTTGTATTTTTGAGTAGACATGGGGTTATGCCATGTTGGCCAGGCTCATTTCGAACTCCTGGCTTCAAGCAATCCACCCACCTCAGCCTCCTAGAGTGCTGGGATTATAGGTGTGAACCACCACGCCTGGCCCAGTAGCTAGTTTTTATTGGACCCATAAATAGTTGATCTTTTTTTTGTTTTTGTTTTTTGAGATGGAGTCTCGCTCTGTCGCCCAGGCTGGAATGCAGTGGTGCGATCTCAGCTCACTGCAAGCTCCGCCTCCTAGGTTCACGCCATTCTCCTGCCTCAGCCTCCCGAGTAGCTGGGACTACAGGCACCTGCCACCACGCCTGGCTAATTTTTTGTATTTTTAGTAGAGACGGGATTTCACCATGTTAGCCAGGATAATAGTAGATCTTTTTTTAAATGTGTACTTCTCACTGTCCTTGCTAGACTGCAAGGTCCCCTCGGGGAGGGACTTTGTAGGCACTATTAAATGCTACACCTACACATTCCTGGGTGGTTAGTAGAAAAATGGCCTTTTCAAATAATTTCCTTTTTTTTTTTGGTCTGAAGTGTGAATTCATCATTTAGGTGGAAGGTATGGAGAAGGCTTGCATATTGCAAATCAGACAAAGAGGTAATTAATGGGGTGGAGGTCATGGCAGGTGGCTCTTACTGCAGTCACTTTCCTGTGAAGAAAGGCCCTGGCTGTAGAGAAGGGACTTGGCAGTCTGTACTCCAGGACGTCATAGACCCGTGTAAGCCCAAGACCAGTTTGTCAATCATGAGGCACTGTTGGGAGGAAACACTTAGCACGCAGTTACTCACTAGTGACCAATTTGTTTTAAAGCCCCGGCCTAAGTTGTTTATGCTGCTGAGTAAGTTACAGGCAACAGAAATGTATTGCTCACAGTTCTGAAAGCTGGGAAGTCCAAGATCAAGGTGCCAGCAGGTTTGGGGTCTGGTGAGGGTTGCTCTCTGCTTCCGAGATGGTGCCTTGTCACTGTATTATTTGTAGGGGATGAACTCTGTGACCTCACATGGTGAAAGGGATGGAAGGGCAAAAGGGGTTTACTTAGTTCTCTCCATACCTTTTGTAAGGGACTAACCCCATGCATGATAGCGGAACTCTTCTGGCCTGATCACCTCCTAAAGGACCCACCACTTAATACTCTTCCCTTGGGGATTAAATTTCAACATGAGGCCGGGCGTGTGGCTCACAGTTTTAATCCCAGCACTTTGGGAGGCCGAGGTGGGCAGATCACTTGAAGTCAGGAGTTCGAGACCAGTCTGGCCAACATGGTGAAACCCCATCTCTACTAAAAATACAAAAATGGGCCAGGCATGGTGGTACATGCCTGTAATCCCAGTTACTTGGGAGGCCGGGGCAGGAGAATTGCTTGAACTCGGGAGGCAGAGGTTGCAGTGAGCCCAGATGGCTCCACTGCACTCCAGCCTGGGCGGCAGAGTGAGACTTCATCTCAAAAAAAAAAAAAATAAATTAAATTAATTAATTAATTAATTTCAACATGAATTTTGGAGGTGACATGGACGTTGAAACCCTAGCAACCCTCCAGAATCATCATTCTAAACAATCACTTCACACTTTAGCTCCAGATCTGTGCTGTCCCATATGGTAGCCACCAGCCACACAGGGTTACTGAGCACTTGAAATGCAGCCAGTTCCAACTGAGCTGTGCTCTAGGAAAAACTTAGCTCAAACAAAAGAATATAAAACATCTCCTTAATGCTTTTTCATATTTGTTTAGATTTGATACTTTTTCCATATGGATCACATGATGAAATGACAATATTTAGGATGTATTTGGTTAAATCAAATAGATTAATCAATTTCTTTTTACTTTTTTAAAAAACACAGCTACTAGAAAATTTGAAGTTGTACATGTGTCTTGAATGAGGATGAAGGAAATGGACCTGGGTCAGAGTTGAGCCAGAGAAAAGCCCGGAACACAGTTTTTTTTCCATTTTAAATTGTGATTTTCTCAATTCCTGGCCTCAGTCTCCTGAGAGGGAAGAAAAAAAAAAGATTTGAGTTAATTGATGGTTCTGGTTAGTTGGGCTCAGTTAATCAGGGTTCTGCCTCTAATTGCCTGTGCCGTCACCTCTTCCTGGGTTTGCAAACACTCTGCCCTTGTTACCCACTGCTCATGCCCTCTCTGGATTCTGCTTGAGCTACACACGGAAAGGCGGAGGTTGCAGAATTCGGAGCTCCTGCGGACAGACAGGTGGAAGAGTGACAATGGAATGATGGAGTATCTACTGGATGACTATAAATGGCCAGTCTAGGAATGAACTTGAGGTTTAGTTATCTGAAGGCCAGAGTCCTTGGCTCCTGTCTCTTCCAAAACTGACCAGTGTCCACCTGTGGGGAGGTGTGTTGCAAGCTGACCTCTAGAGAGGGACTTTGGAATATCATTCTGTGGAAATTGTAATAGTCCCACTTTGCTCAGGAAGCCGTGTGTGTGTGTGTGTGTGTGTGTGTGTGTGTGTGTGTGTGTGTATGTGTGTGATGGACTCTGGCTCTGTCACCCAGGCTGGAGCGCAGTGGCACGATCTTGGCTCACTGCAACCTCCGCTTCCCGGGTCCAAGTGATTCTTCTGCCTCAGCCTCCCGAGTAGCTGGGATTACAGGAGCACACCACCACGCCCGGCTAATTTTTGTATTTTTAGTAGAGTCAGGGTTTCCCCATGCTGGCCAGGCTGGTCTCAAACTCCTGACCTCAAGTGATCTGCCCGCTTCAGCCTTCCAAAGTGCTGGGATTATAGGCATGAGCCACTACACCCAGCCTGGTGTGTGTTTTGATCGCCTCCACTTCACCCCATGGTTGAAGTAGATTCCCACCCTATGGGGATAACACCCAAAGCTGGACAGACCAGATGGACAGCAGTTTATGTGTCACGTACAGTCAGCCCCAGGGAAGCAGGTGCTGTGCACCATGCAGGGCCACACGGTTGTATCTGGGGACAGGGTGAACATCCAGGGGCCATGGGAGGCAGGCTATGCAGAAGCAAGAAGATGCAATAATCCCTGTGTCCCACAAGGGGATATGATTGTCTTGTTTAAATAATCCCAGAGGCTGGCAGGGAACAGAAACCCACTCTCCAGGGATAGGCAGGCACTGTACCTGGTCTTGCTGAGACAAAGGAGGCTGTCTGGCTAGAGGACCTTATTTGAGGAAGCAAAGTAGTTAGGGAAACTTACATTCAAGCCATATGAGATGCTCTTGGCTTTCCCCAGGTGTCAAGGCAGCACATAATATTAATTTTAGGCCTTATACCACAGTGTGGTGGGGAAAAGTGGACAGTGGAATTATATCTTGGTTTGAGTCCTGGCTGTGGACTCAATCTGAGATAAGTCATTCACCTGGTCAATCCTCAGTGTGCCCATCAATAAAATGGGCTCGTTAACATCTACCATATGTGTGTGTGTATCTGTCTGTCATCAACATATACAGACCCACCACACATTTATCCTCTCAAAAAGGGTGGTTTAATCCCTCCCTCCTTTAAACAACAGCAGTACAACCGCAACCAAATCAGAAAGAGTGTTGAATGGAAAACGTGTGTCTGTTGAGCAAACTCAGTTCTTCAAGCCAAAGGCTACATCTGGCCTTCCATGTACTGTTTCCACAGACTAAATGAGGATTGGTTTTGCATGGCCAGAGGCAGACATTGGCTCATTCTCTTTCAGGGCCAAGGAGCCAGGCTGTTAGTTGATGTCATGCCGAGAGGACATGGCCTCCACCCTTGTTCTGACGCCACTGTCCAAGTGCCGAGTACTCTACCTTGGTGTGGTGAAGGCAACTGCCTGGGATTGAGGCCGGCATGGTCAAGGCGGCCCTGAGAAGGCCTTGTGTGCTGTAGCTTGAGTCATCTCCCCCTCCTCCAGAGTTGGGTCATTGCCTTCTTGGCTTTAGAGGCGGCCTCGCCTGTGCACAGAGCCAAGGGGCTGTGGGGACTCGGAGGAGATATTGGGAAAAGCTGGCAGTGCCCAGTGGCTGCCTGCTCTGCCCATGGGAATGGCCAGGACCTGGTTGAGCATAAGCCCTCCCTTTGTGCAGGGCGGTGGAACATCTGTCAGCTCTTTCCTTCCAAATGCACGGACCATCTTTGTTCAAAGGTAGAACCTCATCTCAGCAATTCAAGGGCAGCAGTCCCTGAAACTCCTCAGGTGCTCAAACGCCACCTGATATGCGCATTGAGGATATCACTGCCCCTTGCTCCTCTACATCTTAAGTAGGGACATTTTCTTTTCTTTTCTTTTTTTTTTTTCCGAGAGGGAGTCTTGCTTTGTCCCCCATGCTGGAGTGCAATGGCGCGATCTTGGCTCATTACTACCTCCGCCTCCCGGGTTCAAGCGATTCTCCTGCCTCAGCCTCCCGAGTAGCTGGAATTACAGGCATGTATCACCATATCCAGCTAATTTTTTTTTTTTTTATTTTTAGTAGAGACGGGGTTTTGCCCTGTTGGCCAGGCTGGTCTCGAACTCCTGACCTTAGGAGATCTGCCTGCCTCGGCCTCCCAAAGTGCTAGGATTACAGGTGTGAGCCACCATGCCTGGCCCAGCAGGGACATTTTCTATGGCACCTCTAGCCTGGGTCACCTTATGGGACCCTGGAGTCACAGCCCAGGGAGTGAAACGATGCGGGTCTTTGATATGTATGGGTGGTGGTGGTCTGGAATCCAGTAAACAGCCAGCAGAATTTCATCATCTGAGGTCTGGATCAACCTGTTCTGCTCCTTCTGGGGGTTGAGTGGATGTAGAGAGAGAATTGCAAGGACCTTGGGGAGCCCAACCCAGTTTATCAGCTGTTTGCACTTATTTGTTTATACGCACGAGTGTGTTGTATATTCATAAATGAACACACAGTTTTGTAATGAGCAAGTGCTTTGTGTCAGATATGGCTCCTGCCCATGTGGAGCTGACAGCTGTGTGTGTGTGTGTGTGTGTGTGTGTGTGTGTATCTACCTCCATATGTGGTGCATATAGATTTGTCACTAAGCAGAGCTGTGACCATTTATTGAGCATCCTGGGGCTATGAATACTGTTCTCATTTAACCCTCACCATCACATTGGTTCATTCAACAGCTATTGATGGAACATGTACTATGGGCTAGGTGTTAGACGCTCAACATTTTGAGGTAGAAACTTCTGGAACCTATGCTATTTTTAGCCTCATTTCATAAATGAGGAAACCCAGACTGTGTGGTCAGGTACCTTGCCTGGGGATACACAATCTGTATGTCACCAAGGTGGGATCCAAGCCTGGTGCCCCTCCCTGTGATGGTTAACTGCCTCTTCTGTGTCCATGTGTAGATTTCCAAGTGGGCATGTCTACAAACTCACGGGTGTCCATGTTTGTGCAAGTAACAGACCCGGAGGCACAGGTTGCTGGTTTGGAGCACGTAATTCCCTACCCTGGCTGGAGTACTACTTCCATGAGTGTTTATTTCCTTATCAGTAGAGCAGTTAGTGATGTCTGTCTACCAGCCTTGTGGAATATGAGAGGGGAAAAGGGTGGGGCAATGAGATAATGTTGGAGAAAGGCCATTTTTGACTGAAAAGAACCATGTGGATGAAGACCCGTATAGATAAAGAACTAAGAAAACCAGCAAGATGAAAAGATTTACTATTGGCATAAGGACGTTAACATGTATCAAATATCTACTATGTTTTCCAATTGATGTTTACAGTTACGCAGCAATGTATTATATCCCCCCATGGTAAAAGAGGGAAACTGAGTCTCACGGTTACAGAGTGGTGGATTGAAATAATTTGAATCCAGATCCTGCCCTGTCCAGAGCCCATGTTCCTTGTGGCAGAGCAGGGCTTGATAAACTACGGCTCATGGGCTAAATGCTGCCAGCCATCTGTTTTTGTAAGTGGAGTTTTATTGGAACACAGCCTCGCCCATTTGTTACGTACTCGTCTATGTCTGTTTTGAGCTACAGCGGCAGAGCTGAGCCGTTGTGAGAGAGATCACGTGGCCTGCTAAACTGAAAATCTTAACTGTCTGACCCTTTACTGAAAAAGTTTGCAAACCACTGTTCTAAGAAGGCCTGTGATAAGGATGGATTTTTAAAAGCAGTACATAGAAATGCTACAAAATGTGAACATGCACACACGCATACCTCCAGCAAAACTTCAGCCATCTGGAGCGTTTTGGAGGCTTTGGGAGCCTCATTTCTGGAGAGTTAAGCTTTACTTTTAAGGAATTTTTCTAAACTCTATCACCCATTTATTTTCCTGCCTTCTCAAATAGAGTACGCTGAATGTGTGTGAAGCCTTCCTTGAAGAATCCAGCCATCATTTCAAGCACTAGGTTTTAGATTCTGCTAAAAGCACTGATGGTTGCGCACGGGCATCAAAAATGCTGTAGCTCTTCACTCAGTGACCCTGGAGTCCCTTTAAAAAATAAAAATCTGCCTCTTTTTTGATAATTTTTTTTCTGCTCTTGCATTTCTTGCCTAGTGTTATTTATCACACCTTCTTTTTTTTTTTTTTTTTTTTTTTTTTTTGAGAAGGAGTCTTGCTCAGTCACCCAAGCTGGAGTGCAGTGGCACAATCTCAGCTCACTGCAACCTCCACCTCCTGGGCTCAAGCGATTCTTCTGCCTCAGCCTCCCGAGTATCTGGGATTGCAGATGTGCGCCACCATGCCTGGCTAATTTTTTTGTATTTTTAGTAGAGACGGGGTTTTGCCATGTTGCTTAGGCTGGTCTCAAACTGCTGACCTCAGGTGATCTGCCCACATCAGCCTCCCAAAGTGCTGGCATTACAGGTTTGAGCCACTGCACCCGGCCTATCATGGCTTTTAATATGCCTGATTGTGACAATCAGCTGGCCCTGCTTCTCAACCCTAGAAATAATCTCATTCATTAGAAATGAATACAGAGAAAAATAGGCTCTGGTGGTAAACCCGGGGCACCTGTCTCTCCCTACTATTCTAGGCTGTTCTGTACAGCCGAGCTCTGTGAAAGGGAGGTTACGTGGTCTGTGGTTGTTTACTCCTGCAATTAATTCAAAGGAGGGAGGTGGACTCAATTTCTCCCTCCATGATGGTCCTCTCCTCCCAGTGTTCAGAGTAACGATAGTCAAGGCAACATCAAGTCCTTGAAGCAGAGGAGTGTGGCTGGAGCCTCACACTTTGCAAATACCTGATCTTATCCTCCAGTTATGCTTCAAGAGCCAGAGCTGGCTGTTAGTTACTTTAATCTTGATCACAGATGTTAGCACAGAAAAGGTTGACTGAGTTTGGCTCACCGCGATGGAATTTAAGACGAGGAAAATGCAGACTTGCCTGTGAAATCCAAGCATAATGGCCTATTCCAAGACGTAGTTATAAAATAGAAGCTGATTGTGATCAATTATGAAAAGGCAGTTGTTGGCCAGGCGTGGTGGCTCACACCTGTAATCCCAGCACTTTGGGAGGCCGAGGCGGGGGGGGGGGGGGGGGGGGGGCGGGATCACGAGGTCAGGAGATTGAGACCATCCTGGCTAACACGGTGAAACTCCGTCTCTACTAAAAATACAAAAAATTAGCCGGGCATGGTGGTGGGTGCCTGTAGTCCCAGCTACTCCAGAGGCTGAGGCAAGAGAATGGCGTGAACCCGGGGGGCGGAGCTTGCAGTGAGCCAAGATGGCGCCACTGCACTCCAGCCTGGGAAACAGAGCGAGACTCTATCTCAAAAAAAAAAAAAAAAAAAGAAAAAAGAAAAGAAAAGGAAGTTGTTGCTCGTTTTTAATCATTCAACCCGAGTATGGCTGTTTTTGTTGACAGGTGTTTTATCTACTTTGTGAATAATTCTTAAATATACATGCTTGGCCTCTCAAACACTTTTTAAAAAATAATTTAAAACGTTTAGTTGGAATATAAAGGTTGAATGTATTCAATGTGTTCAAGGTGTGATGATTTGATATACACATACATTGTGTGATGATGACATTACACAAATGAATGAACACATCATTCCCCACCCGTGCTGTCCATTAGCTCCTCAGAACTTGTCTATTGTATAACTGAGAATTTTTTATTTTGGTTGGTGGTGTTTGTCCTTGGCCTTCTGCCATCAGCAGGGTCGGCTTCATGGACATGCGGCCTGTGCAGTCACACACAGCTCCATGGCTCTGCACTTGTTTGAATTTCTGTTGTCAGCATCCTAAGATTCTTAATTAATTTTGCATAAGAGGTCCTGTGTGTTTTTTTTGTTGTGTTTTTGTTTTTTTTGTTTTTTTTTGTTTTTGAGATGGAGTCTCACTCTGTCACCCAGGCTGGAGTGCAGTGGCGCGATCTCGGCTCACTGCAAGCTCCGCCTCCCCGGTTCACGCCATTCTCCTGCCTCAGTCTCCCAAGTAGCTGGGACTACAGGTGCCTGCCACCACGCCCGGCTAATTTTTTTGTATTTTTTAATAGATAAGGGGTTTCACCGTTTCAGCCAGGATGGTCTCGATCTCCTGACCTTGTGATCCGCCCGCCTCGGCCTCCGAAAGTGCTGGGATTACAGGCGTGAGCCACCGTGCCAGGCCGAGGTCCTGTGTTTTTATTTTGCCTTGGGTCTCATGACTTAGGGGGTCTATTCCAGCCATCATGGACTAAGAGCATGGAATACCAAAGGCAAAAGGAGCTTAGAGGTCAACCTTTCAAAATTCTTTATTTTAAAGGTAGGAGAACTGAAGCCAAAAAGAGGGAGTTACTTGCCCAAGATCACAGGAGGATGGATAAAAGAATGGTTACCACGGGATGGGGGAGAGGAAAATGGGGAGGCATTTTCCAATTGGTATAAAGTTTCAGTTCTGCAAGACGAGTAAGTTGTGGAGATCTGCTGGACAGCATAGCACCTGTAGTTAACAATACTGCATTGTATACTTAAAAATGTATTGAGAGTAGATCTCATGTTAATGTTCTTGCCACCAAAAAAGGGGGACACGAGACTTTTAGAGGTGACGGATATGTCTGTTACCTTGATTGTGGTGATGGTGTCACGAGTCTGTGCATGTATCCAGACTCTTCAAAATGCATACATTAAGTACATGCACTTTTTTTTGTATGTCAGTTATACCTCAGTAAAGCTGTTTGAAAACAATCAGGATAATGGATGGCAGATTCAGACAAGCGGAACACGGATCTCAGGTCCCTCCTGAACATAGGGGCTTTCCCCTGCATAGACATGATGCTTCCTGCCCAGTTCATGCTTAGAAATGATGAGCTAATTTAATAATCATCTAACAGTTAATACTTATGAATTTAAATTTCTCATTATCCTCTTTCTCCCAGTACACATAGACACAGAGTAAGTAGCCAGATTAGGGTAAGACTCTCAAAAATGCTAGCAATTTCTCTGAATTAAATGTTTGAATGGAATTTTTTCCCCCACTCATAAGGCAATATATTCCCACGGTTGGAAATTTGGAAAATGACCAAGAAGGAAAAAATAAAATCGCCATGCCAGCTTTTTGTATGTTTTTTTCCAGTCTTCTTTTCCGTGTATGTGTATTTTCTACATAATTGATTTCAACCTCTATTTATGGGAACCTTTTAGATCCCATTTAATATTAGATTAAATTATATGAAATTGCTGTTTTCATTGGTCAGAAAAGGGTCAATATTGGCAATTTGATGATCAAATTGCAAAAGCATCTTCTAAAATCAGAGTATTCTTTTTGTTTTGAGACAGAGTCTCGCTCTGTCGCCCAGGCTAGAGTGCAGTGGCACCATCTTGGCTCACTGCAACCTCCACCACCCTGGTTCAAGCAATTCCCCTGTCTTAGCCTCCCAAGTAGCTGGGATTACAGGCGCACGCCACCTATGCCCAGCTAATTTTTTTGTATTTTTAGTAGAGACAGGGTTTCACCATGTTGGCCAGACTGGTCTCGAACTCCTGACCTCAGGCAATCTGCCCACCTCAGCCTCCCAAAGTGCTGGGATTACAGGCATGAGCCACCGTGCCCGGCACCCCCGCCCAGAGTATTCTTTTCAAACATCATATATATTGGCTGCATATTTTTTTTTCCATGAGGCTACATGCAGTTACATAGCGTTTTTTGAACCACATAATAGATACTTATAAATAAATAACATCCATAATTATATATAAATAGCTATAACTCGTGTTATGATAAAGCATCGTCTTTCTTTGCCTTCATAAATGGAATATTCATTTAAAAATAACTTTCATGAGTATTTTATAACAAAGCTTGAAAAAAAGAGAAGAAAGATCGGTGAAATCATTATTCCGAAATAAAATCTTTGATGCATGTCTTTCCGGTCTTTGTTTTCTACATTTATGTGTGTCTGAAAGCCTGCATTTGTTCACTAAAAACATGTGGTGCACATTAAATAGAATCCTATGAATCTGATTATGTTTATTCCCAATGACCGTGGGGGATCTTTTCAAAAAGGACTACTCAGAGCGTTGTCGGTCCATGGACCAGTGCCATCCCCAGGGTTTCTCACTGTGTGCACGAAGACGCGCTCAGAAACGAAGGACAAGCTTTCAGCAGCTTTTATAGTAACCGGACATGGCATGGCACCTAAGCAAGTCAATCTTTTATTTTTAATGCTTCTTTTTTTGTTTTATTTTACAAAATTAGCACCCTGCAGTAGACTGGGCATACAAAGGCCTTTCTCCACAGCTGGTTTGAGAAGCACTGCTGTGGAACGTGACCATCATACCTGGCCACTGCAAAGGGACAGGCGCTGGCTCCTAGGTCCTCACCGCATGTGTCATGCTGGGCTCTGAAAATCCCTGTGTCTGCTTTCTTGTGGTATTTTTTTCTTTTTCTGTCCCTTCTTGCTGCTCCCAGTGAGCCTGTCTCTAGCGTTACCATTTTCTCCCTTTTCTCTTCTGTCCTTTTCTTTTTCCCTTGACCTTTTTCTTTTTATTTCTCACTTTTTTCCCTTGTTGTCTCTGGATTGGCAAGGTGGAGAGAGAATTAGCAATCCCCATGACCATGCTTGTTAAGATGAGTTGGGAAGCATGTGTGCATGGGACCTGAGCTGGGGTCTCAGAGTGTGCCTGTCTAAAACAAATGAGCTTTCTACCCAGCTGTTGTGACATGTCTTCCCATAGCTTGAGAACAAGTCTGTTTCATACTTTAGTAGATACGGGTTGCATTTTAGATCTGAAGTTGGCCAGCTCTGAATAAGTTAAATGTTTTAAAGCTACATATGATGCTTTTAGTATTATCTGCGCTTCGGAACTTTCTGTGTCTCTGCCATCTGCTCTTGACCTAGAATCGAGAGCAGAGTCTGATCAGACCTGGGCATATTCATCTGGGGACTTGGGCACTACCTGATCTTTTTTTTTCAAAAGGAGAAAAAACCCAGAGAAAGCAGCTACACACTGGTGATGTCCTGTTGCCAGTGAACAGGAGCAAGTGGCAGTAAGCTCTGGAGTGATTCCTCAGGCCCCATCAACCTAATGTCCCCTGGGCTACATGTACAAGTCCGGAGCTGGGAATAAAGTGAACCGTGATGACGAAATAACTGGCTTTAGTTAAATAATTTGCTGTTTACCGCTTCTCTGTTTATGAATCAGTTAAAAGCCCTTTTAAGTGAAATTGGATAGACTACAAAGTGTTGGTTTCATGTGTTTTATTTGCAGTTTAATCAGCGTGATCCAGCTGCTGGAGTGGGGAGAGTGGAGCCGGGGTTTTAATTATCCCTGCTTTGCCCGAGTTAGGAATTCCCAATGGTGCCGTCTGCGCGAAGATGCCAAAAACCGCATTGTTCTTTAATTAGCTGTTGTAATTGTTTTAGTCTAATCTCCGTGATTAGCAGCAGCATTAAATACAGCAGGAAGAATAGGCCTGTCCTCTACGTACTGCCCCAGTAAACAGAGCCTTTCTCCCTTCTGGAGAGGGATATCATAGAAAATCAATTAGAACTCAACCAGTGTTGATTGGAAAATGATAAAGACCAGCCACCATGAAGCAGAGATGGCTTTGAGGAGTTGGTTTATGGCCTCCATGGCCAGCTTGCCTGGAGAGCTCTGCAGCCCTGACCTGCCATGGAGGTATTTGGCTAGGACCTGCCAGATGGCCCTGTCCCTCTCTGGGGATGAGGAAATGGACCGGATTGGCACCAGCTGCTGTTTTGCCTTTAGGTTCTCTGTTTCATGCATTCAGCCACAAGCTTTCATCAAGCACCCCCTTTGTGCCAAACATCATGCCAGGGGCCTGGAGATACAGCACTGCACAAGGCAGAGACAGTTCCTGTCTGCATGGAGTCTATAGTCTATAGGAGGAGACTGATGGTCACCAAACACTTGCACAAGTGTTGGGTTCTTTTAAAGTGTGAAATGCTATGAAGGGGAGCTAGGAGAGAGTTTAACGGAGATAACTCATCTGGTCAGTGAGTTGGCAGGGCTAGGAGGGTGTCCTAGACAATGGAAGTATAAACTGAGATCCAATGAGTAAAAAAGAGTTAGCAGGGCAAAGAGGCCAGAGTGAAGACATATACATCATCAGGAGCAGCATGTGCAGAGGTCCTGAGGCAGGCTGGAATTCGATCCTTTCTGCTCATTGCTCTATTAGAGGCAGGAGAGTATGGTGGGAGTGAGCCAGATTCTGGATCTAAACCCCTTGTTAAAACCCTATCTCAGCTGCATGAAATTCTTCAAAGGACACTGCAGCACTCTGTCTCAGCGTCCCAGGATGTAAAATGGAGATGATGATGATGACGATGATGATTATATTATCTAGTTCATGGGAATGAATTAAGTTTCTACTTGTCGGGTCTTCAGAGCACTGCCTGGTAGGTACTGTGAGGCTTAGGAGGTGTGAGCTGGCATCATTAATCTGTTGGGGTAGCCTTCTCTTTGAAGTTTAACAGAATAGGCTAAAATCTAAATCTGTCATGTACAAGTCTTGTGACTTTGGCCTAGTTACCTAACCTTGCTGTCCCCGCTGTCTTATGCATGAAGCGAAAACACAGTCAAAGAACTCAGAGTTGCCATGTGAGTTAAGTAAGATAACTCAGGGGTTCCGTTCTGTTGTAAGCCATTGTTTGGTGCTCAGAAAGTAGTGGCTATTGTCATTATTCGTGAAACATCTGCTTGGTATGTGTTTGGTGTTGAAACTCAGTGATGATAAGTTCCCTTCACTACTTCTTCTTTCCTTCCCATTGTTAGCAAGGCTGCGCTGTCCTCCCCAAGTTCACAGAAAAGATAGCTCCGCAGCAGGGTTTGCCAACCTTGCCACCATACCATTTGGGGCTGGATAAGTCATTTTTTGTGTGCAGGGGTTCCCAGGTACTGTAGGATGTTTAGAAGCATCTCTGGTCTCTACCGAGTAGATTCCAATAGCACCCCATCCCTGGAACCACAATGTCTATGGACATTGCCATATGTCCCCTACAGGGCAAAATTGCCCCCGATTGAGAACCACTGCTCTAAGGAGAACAGAACAGATAGCTGGGTGTGGTGGCTCATGCCTGTAATCCCAGCACTTCGGGAGTCTGACACGGGGAGATCACTTGAGGTCAGGAGTTCGAGACCAGCCTGCCCAACATGGTGAAACCCCATCTCTACTAAAAATACAAAAAGTAGCAGAGCGTGGTGGTGCATTCCTGTAATCCCAGCTACTTGAGAGGCTGAGGCAGGAGAATTGCTTGAACCAAAGAAGTCAAGGCTGCAGTGAACTGAGGTCATGCCACTGCACTCCAGCCTGGATGACAAAGTGAGACTGCCTCAAAAAAAAAAAAAAAAAAAAAAAAAAAAAAAAAAAGGCTAGTTAGTACTTTGGGAACTGTCCAATGTGGGCTATTACAGTAAAAATAGTAAAGTTTGTTGGGGAGGGCAGTGTGCAGTGGGCAGTTGTGAGATCCTTTGAGCATGAGGCGTTTATAGTGGTTTTCAATTTCAGATTCATGTTGGAATCACCCGGGGAGAGTAAAAAGCAGATGTACAGCCTGCCCCACTGGAGTCTGATGTTGTGGGTATGGATACAACTCCAGGGTAATTCGTAGCTCTCTAGGTGATTCCAATGGGCCTCAGAGTTGAGGAGCACTTTGTAGATGAGGAGCTAACCTACCTGTGTGAAAAAAAGGTACTCAGGGAAACCTGCATGGAATGGTAGGGACAGGGCTCCACCTACCCTAGATGACATTTATTCACATACAAGGCATAAAAAGTGCTAAGTGCCTTACGTATATTTTACCGAAGTCCTTTATGTATGTTAACTCATGCAGTGCCAAAAACAATTCTATGAGTCAGGAACTATTATCATTAACCTCATTTCCGTGGTAAGAAAACCTAGGCACAGAGTGGTTAAGAAACTTTTCCAAGGTCGGCCAGATGCGGTGGCTCATACCTGTAATCCCAGCACTTTGGGAGGGCAAGGTGGGCAGATCACGAGGTCAGGAGTTCAAGACCATCCTGGCCAACATGGTGAAACCGCGTCTATACTAAAAATACAAAAAAATTAGCTGGGTGTGGTGGTGGGGGCCTGTAGTCCTAGCTACTTGGGAGGCTGAGGCAGGAGAATCGCTTGAACCCAGGAGGCGGAGGTTGCAGTGAGCCGATATCGCACCACTGCACTGCAGCCTGGTGACAGAGCAAGACTCAGTCTCAAAAAAAAAAAAAAAAGAAACTTTTCCAAGGTCACACAGCTAAGGAAACTCACAACTCATGCCCCATTTCCTCAGGAGGTGGGGCAGAAAGAGGTTTTGGATGTAAGCATTGGGAATGGTGTGTTTGAGGGTCTTCATAGTGGGTTAGATGAAGGCCTTGATGCGATAGATTGGAGGGAATGCCAAACTTTCACCCATCCCCTCATCAAGCCTTTATTGAGCACCTGCTGTGCTTCAGGCACTGTGCTAGGTTTTTGGAAATACACTGCTAATCAAAACAGGCACGGTTCCTTTTTCTGAATGTTTACAACCTCCGTAGTCTGGGGAAGAAAGAGACAGGAAACAAACAATACATATATCACTACAAATGTTGATTAGTGGTAATAAAGAAGTGAAGAAGGAGCTGCTGTCAGATCAAATGGAGTGGGCTATGTTATGTAGGATGGCCAGGGAAGACTGAGGGTTGAATGAGGAGCTAGTCCCAGAAGAGCCAGAAGAAAGGCTGTTCTGGGCAGAAAGAAAAGAGCATGCGAACTGCCTGGCGCTTAGCATGGTTGAAGACTCCAGGAATTCCAGTGGGGAGGGGAGCTGAGAAAAGGGGATGGGAGAAGGTGGAGAGGTACGAAGGGGCCAGATGACATAGGCCATTATTTCCATTCAGTGGGGAAACTAAGGCCCAGAAATGGGGTGAGGGGTGCCTCAAATGTCAGAGCTGGAATTCAAATTCAGGCTTGGTATCTTGATATGAGATGTTC
This sequence comes from Homo sapiens, assembly GCF_000001405.40. Taxonomy (NCBI): domain Eukaryota; kingdom Metazoa; phylum Chordata; class Mammalia; order Primates; family Hominidae; genus Homo; species Homo sapiens. The sequence continues at coordinate 321,004 of NW_019805500.1, read as the reverse complement.
CTGGGCGGGGTGTGGGGGCTCACGCCTGTAATCCCAGCACTTTGGGAGGCCGACATGGGAGGATCACTTGAGGCCAGGAGTTCAAGACCAGCCTGGCCAATATGGTGAAACTGACTGTACTAAAAATACAAAAACTAGCTGGGCGTGGTGGTGCTTGCCTGTAATCCTACCTATTTGGGAGGCTGAGTCATGAGAATCGCTTGAATCCGGGAGGCAGAGGTTGCAGTGAGCCACGATTGCGCCACTGCACTCCAGCCTGGGTGACACAGATTTAGTTTCCAAAAAAAAAAAAAATTCCTGAATGGTCTCTGTTTCACACTCTCTGACCCATTCTTTGATCAGCCTATGTGTTCTGATGCGGAATTTGGGAAATAGAATAAAGACAGGACCCTTCCTGTCATGCTCTTAGAATCTCTCAGGCAAGGTACTGTGCTGCACCTTGAACATGGTAGGCATTGAACAAATGTTTCAAGATCATTTATTATAAGTTCCAGGCATTCTGATAGATTTTTTTTCATGTATTTCTTTCTGTGGCCTTGAAAGTAAGCCCTTCCCAATAAATGCACAGTCATTGCCTCCATTTTACGTACTTGAAAACTGAGGCTTAAAAAGTGGAGGTAGCTCATTCAAGTTCACCCAGCAAGAGAATAAGGAGAGGCCAGGCATGGTGGCTCATGCTTGTAATCCCAGCACTTTGGAAGGCGTAGGCGGGCAGATCACCTGAGGTT